>NC_000002.12:24933997-25085512 GCF_000001405.40 Homo sapiens
ATACTTTCTAAAATGAAGCTTCTCTCTTAGGGCGACAAAGACTATTCAAGACTTAATACCAACTAATAATGCCGATTGTAGACTGCTAGTGAGTTGTCAGGTCTTCCTGCATACAACTTTAAACCATGATATCAATTAATTAGACTTAGACTTCAGCCAAATCCATCCCAATAAATACACTTTACAAAACCCCAAACCTTGCTCCATTAAACATTCCTTGGCAATATGGAAGGGATACTCTCTGGCACAAGATTGAGGAGCTTTGGGGCATTGGTTAACTTCATCAGGTCTACAGGGAAAATCACAAGAGGTGAGTTGCCTTTATGCCTCTGATAGTGAAAAACAGTGTGGTGTAGCCTTTAACAGATATATATATATATATATATATATATATATATATATATATATATATATATATATATATATATTTTTTTTTTTTTTTTTTTTTTTTTTTTTTTTGAGATGGAGTCTCACTCTTGTTGCCCAGGCTGGAGGACAATGGCATGATCTCGGCTCACTGCAACCTCTGCCTCCCAGGTTCAAGCAATCCTCCTGCCTTAGCCTCCTAAGTAGCTGGGATTACAGGCGCCTGCCACCACACCTGGCTAATTTATGTATTTTTAGTAGAGACGGGGTTTCACCATGTTGACCAGGCTGGTCTCGAACTCCTGACCTCAGGTGATCTGCCTGCCTTGGCCTCTCAAAGTGCTGGGATTACAGGCATAAGCCACCGCGCTCGGCCTAACAGCAATATTTTAAAATACTGTCATCAGTCAACATACTTAGTGCCTCCTCAAGTGCCCCGTGAGGAATCCTATGAGAGAGAAGACTTTGAGACATCATCCCTACCCCAAGCACTAAGAATGTAGTTGAGGAGTTGAGATCAGAGGGAAGGTTCCTGAGGGGTGGGAGGAAAGCTTGGTTGCTGGAGGCCACATTAGAGCCAAGCTCACTTTCCCCCTTTCCTGGAGTCAACAAAGTGCCAAGCCAGAGTTTGCTGTCACAGCTTGTGAGATCTTATTGGTCGGTGATGTTATTTCTCCTCAACTTGAAATCAACCATAGTGAGTATCTATACTATAGGAATCAAGCAAAAGCTACAAATCAGGGTTTCTCCCAACCCCCTCCCAAGGGAGCCAGTTTGCCAGCACACCAGTCACTCCTCGGGCCTAGTAGAAAACTTGAAGCAGCCTGAGAGGTTGCAGTTGCAGTTTCCAAGAGGAGCCTGGCATGAAATTGGGTCTGACATGGCACCAGAGCCTCAGAGTGGTGATGGCTGGAAGAGAGGCCTAAGGGGATGGGCCTCATGGCTGGGATGGGGAAAGTGGCCCAGAGTTACCAATCCTCCAGGGGGCAGGGGGCAGAGCAGGGAGGCCTAGGGCCAGCCTGGACAACTAGGAGGACCAGTGCTCATACCTTCAGTCTGGAGGCCACGGAGGGACCAATGACATCAGTGGGAGATCGACCAGTAGGACCAGCTAGAGGCAGCCAAGGCTGTGAGGGTAGGGGATGGCAAGTGGACAGAAAACGTTACTCTTGGCCAGAACGAGAGGTGAGGCACCCCCACCCCAACTTTAGATCTCTCCTGGGGGGAAAGAGGGGAGCAGAAATGTGAGGGGGAGATGATCTTGCATTTACTGAGTTTTAATCTTGAGTTAATTGTGTTTAAAACCAGAAGTGACTAACTTACCTTAAGAGGCAAATTTTAAGTTTTCCCATCCTTGGTGAAAATGTGAGCGTGGGAGCCAAGATAACTTCTGTTTCGTAAAAGAATGTCTTTGAACATCTGTATCTTATGGACTTGCTACTGAAAAAAAAATTTTTTTTGCTTCTCCCACCCCTACCAAAATCAAGTCAGGGTTAGCTCTTTTCCAGGAAACATTTTTCCTTTCTTTTCTTTTCTTATTTTTTTTTCTGAGTTGGGATCTCACCTGTCACCCAGGCTAGAGTGCAGTGGCATGATCATGGCTCACTATAGCCTCAAACTCCTCAGCTCAAGTGATCATCCCTCCTCAGCCTCCTGGGTAGCTGGGATTACAGGCCCAAACCACCACACCACCGCAAACAGATAATTTTTTAAATTTTTATTTTTTAACTTTTTATAAAGACAGGGTCTTTACGTTGCCCAGGCTAGTTTCAAACTCCTGGCCTCAAGTGATCCTCCCACCTCGGCCTCCCAAAGTGCTGAGACTATAGGCGTAAGCCACCATACCCATACTACTGAAAATTTCAGACCTGTGATTTCATCTCAAACCTTTGTAAAATGAGATGCCATAATCACTATTTCATGTAGTAAGAATTTAAGGTTTTTCTTTAATTAAAATAAAAGAGGGCTTACCCAGGCATGGTGGTACACACCTACAGCCCCTGTTCCTCAGGAGACTGAGGCAGGTGGATTGCTTGAGTCCAGGAGTTCGAGTCCAGTCTGGGCAACATGGCAAAAACTCGTCTCCAAAAAAAAATTACAAAAATTAGCTGGGTGTGGTGGTGTACACCCGTAGTCTTGGGAGGCTGAGATGGGAGGATCACTTGAGCTGGAAAGTGGAGGCTGCAGTGAGCCAAGATCACACCATTGCATTCCAGCCTGGGTGACAGAGGGAGACTCTATCTCAAAAAAAAATCTATATCTATCTCTGTATATAATTGCTTAAAAAAATAAGGGTTCAACAATGCCTGCTATTCCAAACTTTAGGAAAAGCCTAATTCACACACACACACACACACACATTTATTTATTTATTTATTTATTTATTTTTCTTTTCTGAGACGGAGTTTCACTCTTATGATCAGGCTGGAGTGAAGTGGCATGATCCCGGCTCACAAGTGGCGCAATCTTGGCTTACTGCAACCTCTGCCCCCCCAACCGGGTTCAAGCAATTCTCCTGCCTCAGCCTCCCAAGTAGCTGGGATTATAAGCACCTGTGACCACTCCTGGCTAATTTTTGTATTTTTAGTAGAGACAGGATTTTGCCATGTTGGCCAGGCTGGTTGCAAACTCCTGACCTCAGGCAATCCACCCGCCTTGGCCTCCCAAAGTGCTAGGATTACAGGTGTGAGCCACCATGCCCAGCCAATTCGCTAATATTTTAAAAATTAATTTTTATTTTTTCCTTTCCTTTTTTTGCAGGGATGGGGGGTGTTGAAGAAATCCCCCCAAAGAGTAGGTCTCTCCCAGCATCCCCACCTGTTCTTAGATTATTAAACTCTCAGTTAATGTTGCAGTGGAATTATATGCAAGAAGCCTGGGAAACCTAGTTTTTACTGGCTTTGTAAAATTTCATAAAATAATGGTCTTTCAAAAGGACCTCAGGTGTTATCTAATTAAATGGCCTCATCTAATAACGGAGGAAACCTAATCTCAGAAGGTGAATCCACTTGCCCAAGGCTACTCTATTAATGAACAGGAGAGATAAGACTCTATCCCAAGTCTTCTAATTTCAATTCTGCTGCTGCTGTGTTATGTGAGAGTAGAGTTTACGGATATGTAACTACCTTAAGTGGATTTGAAATCCCAGCCAGGGAGCACTGATTGCTATGTTAGCTTTCTGAAAAATTTCTAAGTGATTAAAAGCTTGTTTTCCCTGTAGTCTGAAATTTCTACTAATGTAAAGAAGCAGGATTTCATGACAGCCTAGAGTCACCATACTGTAAGAGGTCCCCACAAACAGCTTCAGAGTGAGCTTAAAAAAAAACTGGTGCTATGCTTAGTTTTTGGTTTTGTATAGCTTTTTAGATGACCAAAGTACACTGTAATTGACATTCATTTGGAAAACTCAAGCAATATAGACAGGATTGGACGAAAGTGAAACTATCCTAACCCCATTCCCTAAATTACACTTCCCAGGGACAAGCTTTAGAGTTTGGTGAATATAAACCACCTTTTTCTTGTGTAGTGCTAGTGAATCTAACACAAAATGCCTGACCACGTTTGGGGGCGAGGATGGGGTGGGAAACAGCCCTTTTAGAGCTTCCTGGGTTTTAACTATGACAAAAGAATGTTAGGAACATGAAAATCACTCAGAAACAAAATCCTTAGAGTGGGTCTCTCCCTGTCTCCTGCCTCATAGGTTATTTAATTCTCAGTTACTGACTTGGGTGGAGGTCCCTTTAGACATGATTTTCAAGCCATTCTGGAGGTATCAGAGGTCCTATAAGAGTTTAAAATTTCATTTAAAAAAAAAAAAGTGGCCAGGCATGACAGCTCACGCCTGTAATCTCAGCACTTTGAGAGGCCAAGGCAGGTGGATTGCTTGAGCCCAGGAGTTCGAGAGCAGCCTGGGCAACACAGGGAGACACTGTCTCTACAAAAAATAGGAAAAATTAGCCAGGTGTGGTGGCATGTGCCTGTGGTCCTAGCTACTCAAGAGGCTAAGGTAGGAGGATCACTTAGGCCCAGGAGGTGGAGGTTGCAGTGAGCCGAGATTGCACCACTGCACTCCAGCCTGGGTGACAGAGTGAGACCTTGTCTCAAAAAAAAAAATTAAAAAAAAGAAAGCAAGAAAAGAAAGAAAACATAGGCTCGGTGCGGTGGCTCACACCTGTAATCCCAGCACTTTGGGAGGCCGAGGCAGGAGGATCACGAGGTCAGGAGATCGAGACCATCCTGGCCAACATGGTGAAACCCCATCTCTACTAAAAATACAAAAATTAGCTGGGCATGGTGGTGCATGCCTGTAATCCCAGCTACTCGGGAGGCTGAGGCAGGAGAATTGCTTGAACCAGGGAGTTGGAGGTTGGAATGAGCCGAGATCGTGCTACTGCACTCCAGCCTGGCGACAGAGAGAGACTCTGTCTCAAAAAAAAAAAAAAAAAGAAAAGAAAACGTAATAAGTACATCCACCAAATTCCATATTCTAAAGCACTCATGTTAACTCTTTCTTGGTTTGGGCACACCTCAGAAAGAAGTTTCTGTCATTCCTCTGCATACATGCAGGATTTGATGAGGAAAATTATCTATGGTGGTCTTTTAAAAATATATAGACCTCTTTAGGAGAACTGCTTGAATCCAGGAGGCAGAGATTGTGGTGAGTCAAGATCGCGCCACTGCACTCCAGCCTGGGCAACAAGAGCAAAACTCCCTCTCAAAAAAAAAAAAAAATATATATATATATAGTATATATATATATATACCTCTTTATGTCCATCTAAGCAACCTGGTAAACAGGTACAATATGACTTATGAGTGGGAAGCAGAATATTTTAAAATTTGGATCCTGAGCCTGATAGTATATAGTGGGAAGCTGAGTTCTGAAAATGGGCAGTCTTGGGTTTTAATAGCTTTTTCCCCCTGCCCCCCAGGCTGGAGTGCAGTGGTGCAATCACGGCTCACTGCAGCCTTGATCTCCCGGGCTCATGTCATCCTCCCACCTCAGCCTCCTGAGTAGCTGGGACTACACGTGTGCCACCATGCCTGGCTAATTTTTGTGTTTTTTGTGGAAACAGGATTTCACCATGTTGCCCAGAGTGATCTTGAACTCCTGAGCTCAAGCAATCCGCTGTGTCTTGGCCTTCTAAAGTACTGGGATTGCAGGTGTGAGCTACCTCTCCCGGCGTGAATAGCTTCCTGTGTGGCCTCGGGCAAGGCATTTAACCCCTCTGAGCCTCGGTTTTCTCATCCATAAAATGGGGATAACAATATAAAAATAAAAGACATCCATGTTCTTAAGAGTCATTGGTTATTTCTGGAACTTCTCTTTGACTATCTTTCTTTCTTTTCTTAATTATTTCACTTTTTTTTTTTTTTTTCCCAGCTGGAATCTTGTTCTGTCACCAGGCTGGAGTGCAGTGGCACGATCTGGCTCACTGCAACCTCCGCCTCCTGGGTTCAAGCTATTCTCCTGCCTCAGCCTCCCGAGTAGCTGGGATTACAGGCATGCACCACCACACCCAGCTAATTTTTGTATTTTTAGTAGAGACGGGGTTTCACCATGTTGGCCAGGATGGTCTTGATCTCCTGACCTCACGATCCTCCTGCCTCGGCCTCCTAAAGTGCTGGGATTACAGGTGTGAGCCACCGTACCCGGCCCTCTTTGGCTATCTTTCTAAGGTTATTTAATATCTCATAATTTCTACCATCTAGCATCTTTCTAACTACCCTTCTCAAGACCTCAGTCTTCTACTCCATCTAATCAAATCTTTCTCTTCCTTTAGGCAGTCCCCAACCTCTGGGAGTCTTGTTCATTTCTTTGGAAGAGCGGCTTAGCTCTTTGCCTCACAGCACAATGTCGGAGTACCTTCCCTCATAGCTAAAATTTCATCAGGAAGCTGCATTAAACAGAGCTTCTGCCTAGCACTGCCTTCAGCACGAGGCCCAGCAAAAGCTCTTAACCCAGTTTCCTTGAATACGATTCATTTTCTTGGGCAAGGTGCTCTCCTCCACCAGCATCTGTGAGCAGGAGAGATTACCATCTTAGATCTAAACCCTGCCATCTTCCTCAGGAGGCACAACTGCCTATTCGCTTCTTCTAGAAGGGGTGAAGTTACCAATGTGAACTTACAGATTTGTCCTAATAAAATGTTGCTTTTAGCTCTTTAATATATAGGGGTCCCATGTTGGAGTTTACTAGAAATACAGGGTTTAGTCACTAAAAAAACAGTTGACAACCACCGACTTGGGGCTTTTCTGTTTGCTCCCTGCTGGTCAGAAGGGAGACAGTTTCTTCTATTTTTCCTTTTTTTTTTTTTTTTTGAGACAGAGTTTCGCTCTTGTCGCCCAGGCTGGAGTGCGTGGTGCGATCTCGGTTCACTGCAACCTCCGCATCCCGGGTTCAAGCAATTCTCCTGCCTCAGCCTCCCGAGTAGCTGGGATTACAGGCATGTACCACCACTCCCAGCTAATTTTTGTATTTTTAGTAGAGATGGGGGTTTCACCATGTCGGCCAGGCTGGTCTCGAACTCCTGACCTCAGGTGATCCACCTGCCTTGCCTCCTAAATTGCTAGGATTACAGGCATGAGCCACCGTACTTGGCCTTATTTTCCTTTTGAACCACTAAGATCCTTTCTTTCTTCAGTATTTATTCAATTAACTTTTCATTCTCTCATACTCCAAAACTAGCAGAATGTTTACATCCTGACATCTGAGGACATAAGACCTTCTCATCTTAATTTCTCTCAATCATAGCAGATTTTTACATTCTCTTCCTAATACAAATACGTTCATGAGTTACAGCTGCTGATTTTATAATTACCAACGAATTGCTTTTGGATGCAAGGAGACATTTTCTTAAAGTCACAGCATTTAGAACAGTCAACTGACCAGAATTTTAACAAGGTGGTATTATAGGTACACATTGGTTTATATAACTAAAACAACAAACTTAGATTTTAGATATTTTCCCTTAAAATGAATCCAGCTTTCAACTGCTTTAGAAGAATTTGTTAATATTTTCATTATAAATATACAAACTTGTATATAAAGAAAGCCCTAACTAAAGGTTGGAACTGTTTCCTTTAATTATTTTATTTTATTTTGAGACAGAGTCTCACTCTGTTACCCAGGTTGGAGTGCAGTGGCATGATCTCAGCTCACTGCAACCTCCGCTTCCTGGGTTCAAGCGCTTCTCTTGCCTCAGCCTCCTTAGTAGCTGGGACTACAGGTGTTCACCACCACCCCCAGGAAATTTTTGTAATTTTAGTAGAGACGGGGGTTTCGCCATGCTGGCCAGGCTGGTCTTGAACTCCTGACCTCAAGTGATTCCTGCCCCCACCTTGGCCTTTCAAAGTGCTGGGATTATAGGTGTGCGCCACTGCGCCCAGCTGGAACTATTTCCTTTAGGCCAACCTGAAAAACTGAGCTTGGCATAATGATAATGGTTGCGCTCTCAAAAAAATAAAAGCATTTAACAACCTACATGATCTTCAGTATATAGTAGCAATAAGAGTATTAATTCTGAAATTGTATATCTTGAAGATTTCTAAAAAATGCAAACTTGCTTCTTCAGAAATAAATTACAGAAAAAAAGAAACTCTTCAAAACACAAATTTTAAAAAATGACACTAGACTGTAAGCTCCACAGGGCAGGGATTTTTGTCACTTCTGTGCTCTGCTAGATCTCCAGTGCCTAGGACAGGGCCTGGCACATGGTAGATGCTCAGTAAATACATGGTGAATGTATATATATATATATATATTTGAGACGGAGTCTCGCACTGACGCCCGGGCTGGAGGGCAGTGGTGCGATCTCGGCTCACCGCAACCTCTGCCTCCCAGGTTCAAGCGATTCTCCTGCCTCAGCCTCCAGAGTAGCTGGGATTACAGGTGCCCGCCACCATGCCCAGCTAATTTTTTGTATTTTTAGTAGAGACAGGGTTTCACTATGTTGGCCAGGCTGGTCTCGAATGCCTGACCCCGTGATCCACCCACCTCGGCCTCCCAAAGCGCTGGAATTACAGGTGTGAACCACTGCACCCGGCTGGTGAATGAACACTTTAACAATAAAGTTTGATTAAAAATTTAAGAAATTACAGGTGCCCTCGATAGACAATGGATCAACTGGAAACTAAAAAGCCAGATAATTTTGCATCTTAAATTGACCCTGAAATGAACTGAGTAAGTCCAGTTCTTTTCCATTTACAACTGGTTATTGGTTTAAAAAGCAGCCAAAGACTCCAGTTGAGAAAAACTAAGTAATTGGATATATTTTAATACATAAAATGTTACACTTGTTAAATGTTACTGACCATAGCTTTCTCATCCCTGCTTATGATCCTTGTTGGCTTTTATTTTCTAACATTCTTTAGGCTGCAGGTAACAGAAAGCAAACTCCAACTAAACTGAAGCAGTAAACAAGTGGAAGGACTCCGAGGTGGCTGACGAGCTTGACAAACAAGCTCACGGGCCCTCCCTCAAGGACTAGAAGGCAAGGCTGAAAACCATCAGGACTCTGCCTCTCGCTGGATGTCTGCTTCATTCTCAATTTTTTCCCATGAGGTTGGAATCAAGGTTGTCAGCCATCACTGGGACTTCTTCCTTTCCTGAGAGAAAGTATCTTCCTAGCTTCAGTTGGAGAGATCCTAGGGAAGGACACCTATGTGACCTATTTGGGGTCACATTCCTGTCCTGTGGACTGGTGTCTGTGACCAGGGAGGAAAGATGGGAAAGAACTTGAACTTTGAGGCCGGGCGCAATGGCTCAGCAGTGGCTCACGCCTGTAATCCCAGCACTTTGGGAGGCCAAGGCAGGTGGATCACGAGGTCAGGAGATCGAGACCAGCCTGGCCAACATGGCTAAAATTACAAAAATCTACTAAAAATACAAAAATTAGCCAGGTATGGTGGCGGGCACCTGTAATCCCAGCTAATCGGGAGGCTGAGGCAGGAGAATTGCTTGAACCCAGGAGGTAGAGGTTGCAGTGAGCTGAGATCACACCACTGCACTCCAGCCTGGGTGACAAGAGTGAGACTCCATCTCAAAAAAAAAAAAAAAAAAAAAGAAAAAAGACCTTGAACATTTTGAACGTCTCCCCCTTAGACCATGTTAGTAGGATGAAGAGGACAGAGTAGCTCCCCTGAAAGAGGGGTGGGCCATTCTCAGGAATGTCTTACTGAGGGTCACAGTCGGTGAGGAACTGGATTGGCATCTAGCTTAGTATGTTTTCCATTAAAGACCAGTGTTTCCACAAATAAATGCAGCCCACAGACCGGTGTTTGATACTTGGCTTTACTTTATAAAAATACACAACTTAAATACATATGACACTCTGTTTACAAGACATAAACTGGTAGATTTAACATTTTCAGTTATTTCAACAGAAAGAAAATATGTAAATTACCTTGTAAGAGCAAAGAGTTCATTTATAGACTCTGCTTTCACAGTTAAGGGGGAAGAACGCCCAGGGGCAATCAATGCAGGAAGCTAACCAACACTGTCCAGCTCTCCAGCAAAACTCATCTTGCCAACAGGGCCTCTATTGCACCGCCTAATATTGCACTGCTCGTTAGACACCATCTCACTTATCCATGTCACCAGTGTAAGCTTTTGTCTTCTCTAGAAAAGTTTAATGGAAAAAAACGATGTACAAACAGTAAAACTGTATCTTACAATTGTGCTAAATACCAATTATGAGAAGTACGAACCTCTCTTCACTTTGCAAAGCTTGCAATGGAAAGTGGTTAGCTATATTTTGCAGCTAAGTTCATTTTCAAAAGTTTTACAAAACCTTTGATTCAGAGTAAGCTTGATGGGGTACAGTGGCAAAGGAGGTGACATTCCCATGCCTAGTGGAATTAGTTGTAAGACGCGCACTGTCACTGTCAAAGGCAACAAGCACATGGCTTACAGCTCCACCTTTCTAACTTTTGGCAAAATCCCTCCCTTCCCCTTGTGATGTTGTCATTGTTCAATGGGGCACAGCTCCTTTTTTTTTTTTTTCTTTTTTTTAAAAAACTGATTCAGAGCTTGCAGTGGCTGCTTACTTACTCTGGCTATCTTTCAGAAATTTAGCTGCCTTATCTATAGCTCATTTAACTAACAGTGAATTAGGTACTAGTTTATAGGTATAAAGAAATAGTTACTTAGTTGAGAATTCAATATATGAGAACATACTAGAGTAAGTTTCCTGAGGTAAAAGTATGCCTTAAAGAATGATGTGCAATCTATAAAACTGTAGCATTTTCTCTTGGGTAGCAACACAATGACCCCCAAGTCTGGATTTTTAAATTAACAGGCTAAGAAAACTAAGGACACATTGATATAGAGAAATAAAATAACAATGCTGAAGTCAAAGAAATATTGACAGCTGAGATATCAATTCAAAAGGAGGCATGAAGGGGAACAGAGGAACAGAAGGAGGCTGTATTTTAAAGTGCTTAGGTAGGTTAGAAGATGAATTTGAAATGCCTCCAGGGATTTCTAACAAGTTTAAAAAGTGTTACTTCTTGGTGACTCAGATGTTGAAGACATGGCTTTTCTTTAATAATAGCTATTCAAACTTTTTATTCTTTTTTGAAAAACAAGATTCTCTATAAAAACGTTTTAGCCATTGTAATTATTCTGCTAGCTGTTACTCTCACTAATGTATTTTGAAATCCTAACTGGCTGAAGAATTTTTAATAAGGTTGAACTACAAAGCACACATTTGCACCAAGAATTTAAATTAATGCATAGATGTCTGTGAAATTCTGCATGAAGTTAGTGCCAAAAAAACCTTTCCATTGCAGATCATGCTTTATTTCTTAATATTCTGCTGAAGGATTATAGAAATCAGAAAAATTCTAGGACCCTGAAGCTTAACTTGCTTATTTTATTCCTTTTACGTAAATGAAGTGGTATATGGCCATTCTTAACATTAATAATGAAGGTGTTGGAAACTGAGTCTCAAGACCTAAGAATCAAGCTCAGGCTAAATTTCACCAACTCACACATAAGGATATGAGTGGGAGCACTAATGAATTTTCTCTGCTGTAATTGCTCATCTGTGCAATACGGCTGAATGAGGTTCCCAATCTAGTATTTAATAACAGTGATGAAAACTGGCACCAGCTTTCATAGAGGGCCACACATTCAGAGTTGTCGTGTCAATTCGGGCTGACGCTACCGTGCACGATCCCTCATTCATATGACTTCTACATTCTGCTGTGAGGACAGACATGTCTGAGTGCTTTCAGCATGATAAAGGCCTTCCTTAAGCAAAATTTAGGTCCCGAAGAACTCTGGGTTGGAGTTCTGTAGCCTCAGAAGCCAGTTAAAGGCCAGAGGAAAACCTCGCAAGAAATAACATATATCAATCAGTTCATTTAAAAAGTTGTTTTGATATTACCAAGATGAAAAGTGCGATGATAAAGCAACGCTCTGGTTTCCTGAAGACAAGCTCAGTGCAGCCCAAGTACAGGCATACAGTGAAAAGCTGCTGTGTGGAAAATCCACAAGGCTGCAGTGGGCTTGGATTGGAAGAAAGTGGCTTTTCTTCTTAGGAGGTAAGGTAGATGCTCTTTGGCAATCGATATGGGATAGCTTTTTAAAATTCACAGGACAGGAAGATTTTATATACTTTCAAGCCCCAATTAGTACAGCTAATTGAAAGTATATAAAAATGTGAATTAGTGTGGTTGCAGCTAAAAGTATGAGTGATGTAACAAGAATGACGACGTAATGAGTCAAGTGGTGAGACTAGTTCTATAAGCACCGTAAGGAGTGCCAGTCCTAATACATGAACTTCATCCATCCCTTGTATATCAAGGAGGAGACTGTGGTCAGAGAATGTATTTTGTAAGCTATAGTTTAAAAATATTACTCTTCAGAAATTTGGAGCCCAAGCAGGAATTACAGAGATTCCTCCCAACAGAGGCCCTGAGATCTCCCCTGACTGCCACCCAAAGGATCCACACTTGCCTCTGATCAACCAGATTCAGGCCAAGGCTTAGAAGAGGGAGGAGGCAGTGGCCAGAAGCCAGGGACTCTAGAGGAGAGAAATGATGGCAGATGTGGGGTTCAGAAAAAACACAAGACGGGAAGGGGAAGAGGGGAAAAAAGGAAGAAACAACACTGGTGAGGAAGTGTAGAAGAGGCCAACTTTGCTGAGGAGTGGCCCTGCCTTTCTCACCTGCCTGTGGCAAAGGCTGGCAGTAAGACAAGGGCTAAGCCTCATAAGGAGTCTCTCCTACTGCATCAAGCTTGCCCCAAGCTTGGCTGGCCTTTCCTCTGCTGATGTGCATAATCTTTAAGTGCGACCTCTAAGTACCTTTTTTTTTTTTCTTTAAGAGACAAGATCTTACTATGTTGCCCAGGTGGGACTTGAGCTCCTGGGCTTAAGCAATCCTCCTGTCTCAGCCTCCTGAGTAGCTGGGACTACAGGCGGATACTACTGCAGCTGGCTCCTCCAAGTACTTCTGTCTTGGGGCCTGATTCCTCATTCCCAGGTGCACAGTGCTCTCTACTGCTACCAGCAACCATTTCTATGGCAAGGGAAAGGCCTCAGATCCAGGGACAGGATAGGCAGCAGCCAGTGTACCTAGAATTTGTGGCTGCCACCACCTTTTCTCTTAGGACTGGCTTGTCTCTCCCACTGGTGGCTGCAGAAGAGGAACAGAGTGAATATCATAAAGGAATGCTCAATTCAGAACTGTATCACCTCATTTTACAAACTCCCAAAGGGCTGCCAAGAGTCATCATTATAGATCGATGGGTTAAAATACCACCTAAGGAACTCATTGTAAAAGCAGCAACTTGTCTGTAAGGTCACACCAAACTTACAGGGGTTCTGATGTTGTTTGCTTCCATTTTTGTTATTTTCTTCTCTGATGATGAATTCCGTAAAAAAGAAAAAGTGAAAGGGTCCTCTTGTCCTCTCTTCCCTCCTCCAGGAACCTTGTGGATTTCCCCAAGTGAAATGTCTAAGTGATACTATAATTACAGAGCTGACGAATGAGAAAAAAATTCAGAATTATCTAGAAATATGAAATGAAGTACAGGGTGTGACGCTCAGTTCACTTCATACAAATGCAGGTCATTTCTCAGTAAAATGTCTATGAAATGGGTACCTGAATTACTGATATACAAATGACAACACATGAATGAAAAGAGCAGTGAGATTCTGGGAAGGAAAACTCCACGTTGGTTATTTCACCTCTAGGGAAAGTCTGTTTGCATTTGAGTCCCACATGTGGCTTTTTTCTGTACTTTCTACTTGATGTTTTTCAGGAGGGCTGTCCGAGCATTCACAACTGCTTTGAAGGCATCTTCACTGCCAGGTGCTACACATTTGTCAGGGTGAAGAAGCACAGCAAGTTTCCGATACGCTTTATTGACTTCATCCCTGGGAAAAGAAGCCAAGATCTATGTTAGTAACAGAGTCAGCCCAACCCACTGCATGTTAGCTGTTTGGACACACATAGTATCTCTTACAGTGAACATATCCTAAATTATTACCCTTTCTCAAAGGCAGGATTAAAGGACTAGAAAACAGACAACCAACCAATAAATAGTATGTAATATATAACACAAATTGAAAAAGTTATTATTGCACAATGCAAAAAGTATATAAATGCTAACAAAACACTTAGTAAAATAATAATCAGATGAAAACAGGCAGTACTTGGCACCTCACAGGCACTCAGCATATCTTTGCTGATTGAAAGAATAAGGGCTTGGGCACCAGGGAAGGCATCCAGAGTTGCCTTCTGAAAGAAGGGGTTCTGGGAGAGAACCAACAGTGGCCTGGAATGGAGCCCGAACACAGCACAGACGGGAAGCAAAACAACCCCAACACCTGGGCCTGATAAACAATCACAACAGTAGGTGTTTCATGACAAGTGTGTGCTGGGAAAACTGTTTCTTGAAGTTAGGATACAGGAGGTTGTTACATAACCCAGGCATGAGTGAGTACAAGTTTAGATTAAGGTATTTATGGAAGGAAACAAGGGAAGATAAAAGATAAAGAAAGAAATGGCAGAAGTGGATGATGAGCTGAATATCCAGGAGGAGAAGATGAAAAGAAAGGGGCTGAAATGAGCTCCAGGGTCAAGGTCACGAGGAATCTGAGGCCCAAGAAGGTGACACCACTGAGCAAGCAAGGGATGCTGGAAAGGGGTAGTCCAGAATGACAATGAGCTCACGAGACCAAAGAAGAAACACGACAGAGATCAGTATTATCCAGAGAGGAAAGGAGCAGTAGCAGTGCTTCTCCAATCCGGCGGTTCCGATAAACCAGCAGCGCTCCAGGAGAGAGCTGCAGGCTTCTGAGCTCCTCAAAGAGCCAAAACTGGCTGGGGAGGGGCCTGGACCCATCTGTCCCTGTCCCCACTGGTCATCATCCTCTGGTGTCAGGCCTCCCAGAGGGCTCTAAGTACCCAGCCACTCCCCAGTCAGATTAAGCTCTGTCTCTACCAGATGGTTTTATTTCCCACCTTCCTTTTCTAATTCAGGGTTCCAGTGATCCTATAAGCTATATGGTGCTTTACCAAATGCCCTAGCCTTTCTCCTTTATTTTTATCGAAGGATTTCTAATGTGGCTCTCCAAGTCAGATGGCCTTTGATACCTTGGCTATGATGGAAAGTTTTATGTATCAGCTTGGAGAGACTGAGGTCATAGGGTCATGTTAACAGTTCTCCAAGTCTTAGGCGTACATTCTAGGGCCTTTTCTGCTTTCTGCTCTTAGAGGGGTCCTGAATTTTCTTGTTCTAGCAAGAACCTCCTTCTTTCATAAGGATACTCTGGGGGACCTTCCTGGTGCCCTGCGTGTTGTTTTTCTACATGTGTAATTCTGATAATTCGCTAACAAGAATGACATTCTCCCTCTCTGAAGCAATTTGAATTGTAAGAATTCTTATTTGTCCCAAAGACCCCGTGTCCTTGAGGAAGGTACAGCATCCTCCCTCTTCCCCACAAGGGAGTCCTGGGAAGGGCCCTTCCAGCCACTCTGCCTCCCCAGAGAGGGTGTCCACATGGGGTCAGTAGTTACACCCGGTCCTCTGCACTAAGAGTGCCTTTCAAGATTTGCAGGTAGCGGGAGAAACTCTCAAGATGTAACAAATACATCAATTCCGTTGAAGACGAAGATTTTCTTAAAGTTCAAGAACAGTAAACACAGTTAACAGTCAACAAATACCAAAACTCTCTGTAACTTAAGAAAAAAATGTTTTAAGGCTTTTTCCCAAATGTACTTAGTGCCATATAAAATTAGTTTGCTAGGCCCAGTGGAATAAAGGTAAGAGAAGCACATGTTTCTATTGGTTAAGGATATGAAACCTATAGGGGCCTGTAAGTTCTGGTAAATTTCAATTAACCAAAGTGAATACATAAGGAGCCCTAAGTTTCTTCTTTCTTAATGAATATTGTTCTAAGTCTACTAACAAGTAGATAAAGTAATTGTTTCTTAAGTTTAGAGCCAGTATCCCTTGGAGATGACACAGAAGAATTCAGAAAGAGACTATGAAGGCCTAAAAAGAAATGTAAAATATACAGATATACAGATTCAGTGCAATCTTACTGAAACCCTACTGGCTTTTTTTTTTTTCATAAATGGAGAAGCTGATCTTAAAATATATATGGAATTACAACAGATCCTTAATAGTCAAATAATCTTGAAAAAAAATAGGAAGACTCACATTTTCGAATTTCAAAACCCACTAAAAATCTACAATAAACCAAAGAGTATAGCACTGAAAAAAAAAAAAAGATCCCGATAAACTCTGTGCCCTACACGAGGTCATCTGAATTCCCTGACAGTTTTAAAGCATCCTCAATATCACCTGGTGAATGAGTGTGCCCAATAACAGTTTTCCCCTTCCCTTCCCCGCTTTCCTTCTGGACTTGAAGATACGCTGTGAGGTCAGAATGGAGAAGAGATGTGTAGTGCTTTGGGTGCTGACATGGCAATTTCAAGACATACTTTTTTCTTTTGTGAGAATCAAGGTGAAAAAGTAGGAAGGGTGAAGTATGTGGGGGGAGTCTGGGCGCATATTGTACTACACTACAATATGTGTAGTAACGGTAGAATTAGACCGTTGAAAGTTACATAACCATAATGAATAATAATTTAATTTTTGTACAAGCAACAAAGAATAGTGATTGAATTTTTTTCTTAAATAACTCTTTTGACTAAAATAATTAACATAAATACACACACAGAGGGCTGGGTGTGGTGGCTCACGCCCGTAATCCCAGTAGTTTGGGAGGCTGAGGCAGTTGGATCACCTGAGGCCAGGAGTTCAAGACCAGCCTGGCCAACATGGCAAAACCCCATCTCTACTAAACATATAAAAATTAGCCGGGCGTGGTGGCGTGTGCCTGTAATCCCAGCTACTCAGGAGGCTGAGGCAGGAGTATTGCTTGAACCCAGGAGGCAGAGGTTTCAGTGAGCTGAGATCACGCCACTGCACTCCAGCCGGGGTGATAAGAGTGAGACTCTGTCTCAAAAATAAAAATAAAAAAAAAAAATAAACAAATACACACACAGATGAGGAACTTGCAGGGCTTTAGAGACAAAGACAGAGACAGTCAAACATACAGTGTTCCAGGGTAAGAACCAATTATACCACTAACTCCGGGGATTCTTGAACATGTTTAATCTCACTGAATCCCAGTTTTCCCACCTATAAAATGAAATGTTTGACAAGTTGATTGCCAACGTGCTTTCCTCCTCTAACATTCTATGATTGAAGAATTCTCTTTTGTTAGTTCTTTTCAAAGCTCTTCTTGTTCCAGACAGATGAAAGCAGAGCATACCATTTCATGAAGTATTTATGCACGTACACGACACAGTTTTCTCACCAGGCAACTGTGCCCTCTATTTTGTCTCTTTGGTATTCAGCTAATTCAGTGAAACTGAGTCATTCTAATATATTTTCATACATCTTCGTATTTCCAGCCAACTGGAGGAAGATATACTGCACCTATAATTTTGGTGATGGAGTCTTTCTTTATGATAGCAATCAGCACTAAGTATCCCAGAGCGCTTACCTTGAGGCCCCAGGTTTGACTCCCAGCATGTCCCAACTGTCTTTACTATTTCGAATTCTGCGAATGGCATCTGCTTGTTCTTTGGTGAAACTAGCACTGCTATTGGTGGTAGGGCGTTTCCCGCCATTTTCACATAAATCAACTATGGATATATAAAAGGTCTACAAGAAGAAAACATAACCCAGGGTAGAAATGATTTTGTGAAAATAGGAATTCCTTTTAAGCATCAACTTAAAAGACTTTTAATATATTCCAGCAACTCTTAGAAGTCATGTATAAAGCAAATACACACTTTGGAAGATTTTTTTCTTTTATACTATTTAAATATATATATTCATATATTTTAATACACAAAAAGTATAAGGAATAAAATTAAAGTGGCTAATAATCCTACTTTCAGATAACCACAATTGAAGTTAAAAAGTAACAGATGGGCAGGGCATGGTGGCTCACACCTGTAATCCCAGCATTTTGGGAGGCCGAGGCAGGCGGATTGCTTGAGCTCAGGAGTTTGAGACCAGCCTGGGCAACATGGCAAACCCACGTCTCCACACACACAAAAAATACAAAAATTACCCGAGTGTGGTGGTGCACGCCTGTAGTCTCAGATACTTGGGTGGCTGAGGTCGGAGGATGCTTGAGCCCAGGAAGTGAAGGCTGCAGTGAGCCCAGATCATGCCACTGTACTCCAGCCTGGGTGACAGAGCCAGACCCTGTCTCAAAAACAAACCAACCAACCAAAACAACAAAAGTAATGATGAACATTGTTAGAAAAATTCAAATAGTAAAGAAAAGTGTAAAATGAAAACTGTGTCTCTCTACTCCTCAAGTTCCTCTCCTGGAGGTAACCATTGTTAATTTTTTTTGAGCATCCTTCCAGAAAAATTTACCATCAGTATGCCAGTATATACACAGATCCATACTCTTTCAACATGTACTAAAGGAGATCAGACTAAACACATCTTAGCACCTTGTATTTTTTTCCACATAATGCATCCTGGAATCTTTCTATAGCTACATGTAGAGACTTTCTTTGTTCTTCTAAATGACTGTTCAGTATTGTATTGTGTAGCTGTCCCATAATTTGTGTAACCAACTCTCTATTCTTGGACAAGTCAGTTGTTTCTAGTTTTTTTGCTACTATAAACAGTGCTTCAGTAAATTTTTCTTTTGTGTATACATCTCAGTACACTTGTGGGGATACTGCTTTAGGATAAATTCCTAAAAGCAGAACTGTTGAGAAAGAGTATATGCGCATTTTAATTTTTGAGTCTGACAACCGTTGTTAAAAAAAAAAGCTGTACCAGTTTACATTCCCATCACCGTGTGTGTGAGACAGAGTGCCTACTTCTCCATACCCTCATTAACACTGACCATTATCAAACATCTTAAGTGTTACTAATCTGATATATATCTAATATAGTTTGATTTGCATTTCTTTAATTAGAAGTGAAAGTGGGTATCTTTCCAAATGCTTATGGCCTTTTCTTTTTCTGCAAACTTCTTATTCTTTGCCCATTTTTACAATTTTTTTTCTTTTTTTTGAGACAGGGTCTCTCTATGTTGGCCAGGCTGGTCTCAAACTCCTTGGCTCAAGTGATCCTGTCTCAGCCTCCTGAGCAGCTGGGATTACAGGTATGTGCCACTGCACCTGGCTACACTTTTCTGATTTTTTTTTAGGTGAAAGCTTTTTTGACCCTGCTCATGTTTCATGTTCTGTGCACTGTAATTATTATTGAATAATACTCATTTACCACACTACAGCCACTTTTAAATGGACATATCTCCTCCTAATTTCTTTAAAAATCTTTTCCTCTTCTTTTTTGGATTCTTTTATAGTTCCTGTTATCTTCTAAAATTCTTATCTTTCTTTTAGACTCTCCTTTCTGATGTCTAGTATTAGCTAATCAACTTGGTAACCTAACAAGAAGCCTTGACGTCTGAAAAGGGGTGTCAAAGGAATACCACTAGAGACCAAGACACAAGACGTATTAGCTTGGCTTTAGTCTGTCTTAATATTGCTCTCTCTGTTAACAGTTATCAATCAGATAAAACCATGTTACTTCCTGACATAAAATGTCTATTAAGTAGATGGGAAATAAAGAAAATATTTATTAAATTGAACCAGCAGGAAAGCACTACTTTTAAGTACTTACTTATAGAATACTGTAATTATTCTCTTCTTGTTAGCTTTTTTTTTTTAAACAGACTAATTTATCCATTAGTTCTATCCAAGATGTATCTAAAAAGATAAAAGCCACATAAAAGGGATCACAGTTCACGGATGTTTGCTAGTTGTGTATCAGTAAGACTGTCTTCTAGCCTACGAGTTAACCTGAAATATGAATATTCATAGATTTCTGAGGGCACAAGGATTCATTCATCACACACATGGTTATAGGAGACAAGTCATAGTGTAGGCTATAGAATACTAGGATTGAGACCAAAGCCTGTTTAAATTTCATGTCTGAGTTCCAGCCATGACAGAGTAATGAATACTGGACTAGACTTCCTGCCATCAACTACTATCGAACTGGAAAAAAACTGTTGGCAGTGGACAACAGCAAGTGCAAGACGGCTCCCTGAGAGATAAGCCCCCCAATCACCTGGTTGTCTGCTTGGAGTCCATTTCCTGACCACATCACAGAGAGCTGGAGTCTGAGCAGACACAAGTCTCATTGAGCTAAGGAGGAGGTGGCTAGACTCTGCAGAGCAGGCCATTGGAGAGGAGAGAGCTGTGCAGAGCTGGGCACCAAGTCCATATGGGGGTCTCTCATGAGTCTGTGGCCAAAGGCTGGGCTATATATGCATAGGGTGAGATCACTCAAGGCTTACCAGATAACAGCTGCTATGGGGTTGAGAACAAAACCAATATCCTGAGGTCTAGTGGTGCTAGAGAAGAGCTATCCTGGGAACAGTAGGGTTTAGCCTTGTCAGAGTGGAGATATTGCCTTAACCCCTCATTAATTGCCCCACCATCTACTGAGGCACCACAGAAAGGCTGTGCCCTAAAAATTATAGACTCATCCTAACAAAACCTAAAACCAAGAGCTGACAAGATCTGCAAAAGAGACAGAATTTGGAAGCTGAGTCCTGCCAAATTAGAAGGGCTTGGGAAACACTTTGAACTTCCTTCAAATCCTTGCTATTAGGGCAAAAAAACAAGCCAACACAAGTTCACTGTAATTTGCCAATAATTAAACTGCCTCCTGAGGAATCAAAAATCAACACTAAACATTCTTCAATCAAGAATCAATAGTCAGGCTGGGTGCGGTGGCTCATGCCTGTAATCCCAGCACTGTGGGAGGCCGAGGCGGGCGGATCACGAGATCACGAGATCGAGACCATCCTGGCTAACTCGGTGAAACCCTGTCTCTACTAAAAATACAAAAAATTAGCCGGGCATGGTGGCGGGCACCTGTAATCCAGCTACTCAGGAGGCTGAGGCAGGAGAATGGCATGAACCCAGGAGGCGGAGCTTGCCATGAGCCGAGATTGCGCCACTGCACTCCAGCCTGGGCAACAGAGCCAGACTCCGTCTCAAAAAAAGAAAAAAAAACCAACGGTCTTCTGAGGAAGATAAAAGAATCTAGAGTCTCTACAATGTGTTATCCACAAGGTCTGGTGTTCAATCAAAAACCACTACTCATACAAAGAAACATGTAAATGTGATCCATAGTCAGGAAAAAAGGTAGTAAATAGAAACTGAACCCAAGATGGTTCAAATGTTGGACTTAGCAGATGAAGACTGTAAAACAGCTATTATAAATATTTCAAAGAGGTAAAGAAAAATACATTCAAAGAATTAAAGGAAAATATACTCTTAATGAGTGAGCAGAGAATCTAATAGAGAACTGAGAACTATACTGGGAACCAAATGCAAATTCTAGAGCTGAAAACTTCCCTCAGGGAGTTTAACAGTAGATTGTCAGTGGTGAAGTCAAATCAACAGAGACTATGCAATCTGAAAAATGCATAAAAAAATGGAAGAAAAATAAATATAGCCTCAGGGACTCTGGGACAAAATCAAATGGTCTAATATACATGTAATTGGAGGCCAAGAAGGTAAAGAGAGCCAGAATGTGGCCAAAAAAACTCTGAAGAAATAATAGTAAAACAAAAACAAAACAGAAAACTCCCCAAATTTGATGAAAAACACCCACCTACCAATCTTAGAAACTCAGTAAATCCTAAATAGAATAAAAATGAAGAGAATCACATCTTGGCACATCATATTCTAACTGCTGAAAACCAAAGAAAAGAGAAACTCTTGAAAGCAGCCAGGGGGTAAAAAGGGCACATTAGGTACAGAGATTAATAAGAGTCAGAATGAGTGCTAACATCTCATGACACACAATGGAGGCCAGAAGAGAATGGACCAGCATCTTTAAAGTGTTGAAAAAAATCTCATTTCTAACAAGTATGTCCCTTGGACAAATCACTTTACTACCCTTAGATGCTCTCATATATGAAATGATAACAATACTTGCCACACATTGTTGCTGTAAGTCTCCATGAGATGAAATGTGTAAAATTCTCCAGAATGGTGAAGTACTATTCAAATGGTTAGGTATCATTATTGTACACATACAGGCACAAAGTCACATAGCTCCAAGTACTCAAAAGAATAGAAAGCATGGCAAACCAGCATCAACTTTATTTGATCTTGAAATAGAAAATACTTTTGCTTAATTCAGCCTGTCAGCCAAGGAAGAAATCTGTCTTCTAGCAGGAGGAGTGACATCTTGTGAGAAGGAAATTCAGCATAAAAGATTAAGTACAATCCCACTCAATAATTAAGAACAACTCTTTATAGTGTAACTACTTTATTTGAAATGCTAAAAATTCCCAAAATATCAGATATATTCATAAGAAGAAAACTACATTATTCATGCTACCACTTACTTCCAAATGTATCTATAATTAAGGGCTGACTTTATAAGTTATTGTTTTAAATAGCCTATTTCCCTTAAAATTACTCAAGATGAGTAGGTTTTTTTAAAGTGGCCATCTGTTCAGGTTGTGATGTGAGCGCCTCCCTCTATTTCCTGCTTGATTGGCGAGGCCTTATTTTTATGTGTGACTGGATGGAGTCTATACTGACAGTCTCCTATTCTCTAACTGCACCCCTGTGGGCTACAATATAGGATTATACTAGCGGTGGCAAGGCAATTTTGCCACAGTAATGCTTCTATCTGATTATGCATATAAATGTAATACCATTAGCCAAAGGTAGCTTTGAAGAAAATCTCTGTCCTGCTTAAGCAGTGTATAATAACTTTTGTTAAACTTGATGATCTTCAGAATCGCCTGGAGAGAGAGCTTTTTCAAAATATAGATTCCTGGGCTCCATCGCAACATAAGCTTCCAGTAGGTCTGAAGCCTAGAAGTATGTATTTTAAGAATTTCCTCAGGTAATTCTGGTGATCAGCTAAGTCTCATCTAAAATAGACAGCAGTCAGATCACTCATTCTCATTCTCTCTTCCTTTCTCTCCCCCTTTCTCTATTTCTATCTCACTAGATTCTTTGAAAAGAAAGAGCTTATTCTAATGAGAAATTCCTATTACTTTTTTGCTTCCTATAATTTAAACTGAAAATTGGCACAGTGGCCTTGACACAAACCTTAAAACAACAAAATGCTAGCTTACCTGGAACATCTCATTAATGCCTTCTCCAGTTTGTGCTGAAGTTTCAAAGTACAGGAACCCTTTGCTTTCAGCCCAAAGACGTCCTTCACTTTCATCTACACAGCGATGTTTGGTACAATCAATCTGAAATAGAAGGGGCGGGGGACAGAGAGAAGATTACAATCTTGTCCTACTAGAATGGACCCAGTGAGGGTCTCTGTCAATCCTTTACTAAGGCAAAGCTATTCTTAGTAAATGCCTGCACTAGTGTGTAAAATTACCAGGACCAAAGGGACAGAAACAAAACTTAATATTGAATGTAGACTGATATTCTATGGCAACAGGACTAGTGCCTGCTGCTGCAATGTCCCACCTGATCCCTTGGGAAAACAGCTGTTACTCAGTTCTGTGAAAGTTGGCTTCATGACATCTGCCATACCCTTGGGGCCATAGTCTGCTTTTCACACCTTTCCATAGTCCACATCACCTAATTAATGCCCCTACTCCAGTCGGGTCAGAGTCTGATTATTAGGAACCATTGCTCCCACTCAGTCACCAACATCCTTCCCCATGTATGGCACCAGAAAAAAAAAAATGTATACAAATTTTGATATAGCAGGTTTTAGGCTGCTGTGTTGTTTTGTTTTTGTCTTAGGGACATTATGTTTTGAAAGGTTATTGATTTCCATATTACACAATAAGGAATTTTTCTTTTCTTTTTGTTTCCCAACACTCAAAGCTCCACTCTTTCCCTAGAAATCTGAACACACCATTTCCAGAGGGGTTACCTTGTTGGCACAAACTACAAATATAATATTTTCCATGTTTCCATGAGGTCCAAGCTCTTGCTTCATTTCTGCCAGCCACGCATCAAGGGCGTCAAAGGAGTCTTTCTGCCCAACATCATAGACCAGTATCACACCCTGTGTGTCCTTGTAAAACTCATTTCGAACCTTCAAATAAAAGGACAGATACACAAAACGTAGTTTTTGTGATGTTATAAGAATGTATCTCACAGTCATTAACCTGGCAAAGTGTGTTCTTTTGTGTATTCTTAGTGTTTGCTATTGTATCTGTTTCTACTGGTCATTAGAGGGTTTTTTATAGAATCAAAGTAATGTCATTCTAAAAATGTATTAGCATAGAAGGACTTACAATGGAAAACAACAGCCTCCTGCCCCACCCCGTCCCACCTCCAGTTCCACTCCCTAGAGGCAATCAGTCTTTAATTATAGTAGACCTTAAAAGAACATCAATTATATAAAGTTCTTCTTAGGAAGAATTAGGAAGGTGAGTGAGCAATTCAAAAGAACTTAAGGCCAAAATGACATAAGTGTCAGCAATGGGTACAGCCATTTATAAATCACATCCCAAAGCTGGCTTCCCCCAGGGTGCTAGGCAGAGCTTCCCTGACTCTCGGGTCTGCACACCAACTTTAGAACTCCAAACTCAGAGCCTCAGTGTGATACAATGGAAAAGAGCACAGGCTCTGGAGTCAGACAGATCTGGGTTCACACTTACTTACTAGTTTTGTGATCTTGGGCAAGTCACTTAACCTCTCTGCGTCTCAGTTTCCTCATCTGTAAAATGGGGATAATACTACTTACTTCACAGGGTTATTATGATGGTTAAATGAGATAATGCAGGCAAAGTACTTAGCATGGTGCCTGAAAAACAATGTCTATTTAACACCTTCCCCTTCCTTCCTTGCATTCATTCTCTGGGCTTCATTCCAAATGTGGGAAGAGGCAGCATGAAATATGGGCATACTCAAACATTAGGGCCAGAGAGAAGTTAAGGAGCAGCATTGACACATGGGGTTTCCGGGACAAAGTTCCAGAAAGAATCCTGACAGAGCCCATATATTATATGTTCTTTTCACAAAATTCCCAAATGTACTCAGACCCACACAAGCTATGTAGTAAGAAATGAAAACATGTTATACACATCGGGTAGGGTTTCTGGGCATAGGCAGATATCTGGACCAAGGATATTAAGTGCTCCTATTTGTTTACAGAAACCTAAGAAGCTATCCCCTAAAGTTAAAACCAACAAAATCAGAAAGAACTGAAGATGATGAAGCCCACCAGTCCTTTCCCTCAGTACTCATGGTCCTTGGCCCTTCTACAGCAGTTAACGACGGGCTCTCTCTTCTTTTCTAAAACTCTCACTGCCTTGGCTCCCATACATCACATTCCCTAGGCTCTTAAATTCTCTTTCACCAACTCCCCTTCTCTCTATTGCTCCCACTCCAGCTTACCACCAAAATCCCCCAAATCCTGTCCTATGCCTTCTTCCTTTCGTTTTGAATCCTTCCTCCCAAATCAGCAACATCAACCACTTGTACAGTTTCAACTGTGAGAATCTCCAAGATGAGCCCTCTCCTCTGAGGTTCCAGACCTGCATTTCTAATTAGCACAACATTCTTCCAGCTGAATGTCCTGTTGGAATCTCAAATTCAATATGCACACAGGAAACCCCTCAACTTCTTCCTTCTTAAACTATTCTCCAAAGTTCCAACTTTCTCAAATGATGTTAAAAGTTTCTGATCAGTCCTCCACCAACCTTCCCAGTCTTATCCTCCCACTAGCTCCTGACCTTCAAACTGGGGAATCTCTCATTCCCCAAACTTGCCCAAGCCTTCCTAACTCCATCTGGAAACAGATACCTCTTTATCTTTAATTGTTCAAGCCCTGGCTATAATGCTGTATCTTTCATGCAGCTTTCTCTGTTCCATTCCTCACCATCCAGCCCCCTACTCCTGCAAAACAGAATGTAATCTCTATGTCCCCTGGAGTACCATACTGTTTTGTACTTTCATAGTGCCATCACTTCCTGCCCAGTTTTACAGTTAGTAGCATATCCAGCTGTCTTCCCTCCTACACTAGAAGAAATGTGAAGACATGCATCATCTTCATGTATCCTCCCTTGTGTCACCCACAGGGCCTAGCAGATGCAGGCACACCTCACTTTATTGCACCTATGTAAGGCACATAGGCACACCTCACTTTATTGCACAGTATGTACATATTGTGTTTTTTTACAAAGTGAAGATCTGTGGCAACCCTAAGTCAAGCAAGTCTATTGATGCCATTTTTCCACAGTGTGTGTTCACTTTATGTGTGTGTCACATTTTGGTAACACTTATAATACTTCAAACTTTTCATCATTATTATGTCTGTTACGATCATCTGTGATCAGTGATATCTGTTACTATTTTAAGTGTTTTGGGATACCATGAACATATAAGGTCATTTAAGACAGCAAACTTAATAAATGTTGTCTATATTCTGACTGTTCCACCAAATGGCTGTTGCCCCATCTCTCTCCCACTCCTGGAGCCTTCCTCTTCCCTGAGACAAAACAATATTGAAAGTAGGCCAATTAATAACAATACAACGGCCTCTAAGTGTTCAAGTAAAAGGAAGAGTCATGTATCTCTCATTTTAAATCAAAACCTTTAAATGATTAAGCTTAGTGAGGAAGGCATTTCAAAAACAGATAGGCCAAAAGCTGGGCCTTTTGTACCAAACAGCTAGCCAAGTTATGAATGCAAAGGAAAACTTCTTGAATGAAATTAAAAATGCTAATCTAGTGAACACATGAATGCTAAGAAAGTGAGACAGCATATTGCTGATATGGAGAAAGCGTTAGTGGTCTGGATAGAAGTCCAAACCAGCCACAACCTTCTCTTAAGCCAAAACCTAATGCACAGCAAGTCTCTAACTCTCTTCATTTCCATGAAGGCTGAGAGAGATGAGGAAGCTGCAGAGGAAAAGTCAGAAGCTAGCAGTTGTTGGTTCATGAGGTTTAGGGAAAGAAGCCATCTTCGTAACATAAAAGGGCAACATGAAGCAGCACATGCTGATGTAGTGCTGCAAGTTATTCAAAATATCTAGCTAAGATCATTGATGAAGGTGGCTAATCAAAGCAACAGATTTTCAATGCAGATGAAACAGGCTTGGAATAGATAGATCTAATGGAAGAAGATGATATCTAGGACTTTCAAGGCTAGAGAGGAAAAGTCGATGCCTGGCTTCAAAAGCTTCAAAGGACAGGCTGACTCTCTTGTTACGGGCTGACAGAGCTGTTACGGGCTATATGAGCTGATGCTCATTTGCCATAATGAAAATCCTAGGGCCCTTAAGAATTATGCTAAATCTACTCTGCCTGTGCTCTATAAATGGAACAGCAAGGTCTGGATGACAGCAGATCTGTTTAAGCATAGTTTACTGAATATTTTAAGCCCACTACTGAGACCTACTACTCAGAAAAAAGGATTCCTTTCAAAATATTACTGCTCATTCACAATGCACCTAATTACCCAAGAGTTCTGATGGAGAAATACGAAGAGATTAAAGCTGTTTTTATTATGCCTGCTAACACAACATCCATTCTGCAACCCATGGATCAAGGAATAATTTTGACTTTGAAGTCTTACTGTTTAAAAAATACATTTTGCAAGGCTACAGCTGCCATAGTGATTACTCTAGGCAAAGCAAATTGAAAACCTTGTAGAAAGCATTCGCCATTCTAGATGCCATTAAGAACATTCGTGATTCAGGGGAGAGGTCAAAGTATCAACCTTAACAAGAGTTTGGAAGTTGATTCCAACCCTTACAGATAACTCTGTGGGAGTTCAAGACATCAGTGGAGGAAGTAACTGCAGATGTGGTGGAAATAGGAAGAGAACTAGAATTAGAAGTAGGGCCTGAAGATGTGACTGAATTACTGCAGTCTCACGATAAAAAATAAATAAGGAGTTGCTTCATATCAATGAGCAAAGAAAGTGGTTTCTTGAGATGGAATCTACTCCTAGTGAAGATGCTATGAACATTCTTGAAATGACAAGCAAGAATTTAGAGTATTACATAAACTTAGTTGATAAGGCAGCAGCAGAGTTTAACTGAATTGACTCCAATTTTGAATGAAGTTCTAATGTGGGTGAAAATGCTGTCAAATAGCATTGCATGGTACAGAGAAATCTTTCATGAAAGGAAGAGTCAATCAATGTGCCAAACTTTATTGTTGTCTTATTTTAAGAAACTGCCACATCAACCACCACCCTCATCAGTCAGCAGCCATCATCACCGAGGCAGCCTCTGATCACAATGGAATCAAACTAGAAATCAGTAACAGAAGGATTAACAGGAAAATCTCCTAACACTTGGAAACTAAACAACATACTTTTTTTCTTTTGTTTTTTTTTGTGTTTTTTGTTTGTTTGTTTGTTTTTGAATAACACACTCTCTTTTTTGAGATGGAGTTTCACTCTTTCACCCAGGCTGGAGTGAAGTGGCACGATTTTGGATCCCTGCAACCTCCGCCTGTTCAAGCGATTCTCCTACCTCAGCCTCCCAGGAAGCTGGGATTACAGGGATGTGCCACCACACCCGGCTGATTTTTGTGTTTTTAGTAGAGACAGGGTTTCCCCATGTTGGCCAGGCTGGTCTCGAATTCCTGACCTCAGGTGATCCACCCTTCTCGGCCTCCCAAAGTGCTGGGATTACAGACGTGAGCTACTGCTCCCGGCCTGAATAACACACTTCTAAATAACTCATACATCAAACAGAAAGTCTCAAGGGAAATTAAAGAAATACATTGAACTGAATGAAAATGAAAATACAACATCTCAGAATTTGTGGGACACACAGTTGTGCTGAGAGGGAAATATGTAGCATTAAATGAATTTATTAAAAAAGGAAAAAGTCTCAAATCAATAATCTAAGATCCCACCTCAAGAATCTAAAACAAAAAGAGCAAAATAAGCTTAAAGCAAGCAGAGAGAAGGAAATGATAAAGATTAAGGCAGAAGTGAAACGGCCAAACCAGAAAAGAGCAAAAAACCTCCTTAAGAAAAATGAAAAAGCCCAAGGAAGGAAAAACAAAAGAGAATGGTCATGAGATTCATTTGGTGATTACTTAGAGCTGGTAAGCAGATGAAAATAAATCAAGTAGTTGCTTTAGCTTCTTCTCTGGAAAGAATGCAGATGACTAGGCATGAATAGGAACGATCACCCCAGTACCCTGCTGTGAAAGAAGTCGCATCACTGAGTTCTTAAGCCCAAGCATAAATGTAATTATTTTTTTTTTCACATTTTAGGCTAAAGTATGAGGTAAAAAGCAAAAGTCCTCTGAAAGTCAAAATGTCTTATTGAAATGTTTGAAATATTGGCAATGAAATTTCCTACCACTATTTAACAGGATAACCTAAAAGATCAACAGTTGTCTATTAACTCAAGGCTCTGAAGGCAAGCCACGATCAAGCTAAAATTATGCAATTTTACACATGATATCAATATTGGTTGTTTCATATAATTCTGGATCTCTCCCCAAACCACCAACAATACTGGATATAGGTTTTGTCAAAAAGGCTTTCTTACCTCATAGAAGAAGGGATGTCCAGCCATATCAAAGATGTTAACTTTGATTTCTCTGTCTCTGACGTGTACCCTGAAATGTTCAAATGGAAACAATCCGAAAGAAAGTCATGGTTTCTCCATTTACCTTAATATCATTTATAAATTTCAAAAGGATATGTGTATGCAATTTAAGAAGCTTTCTTAGTGCCTCTTCCTCATTCCAGATCATCTTTACAATAGCAGTCAGCAACCTGACAGATGATCCTGCCTTCTTATCCCAAGAACACTGAACCCACATGGAGTAGGCATTCTCAATTACTTCACTTTCACCTTCACTTCTAGAAACTTTGGTCCACAGCTCCCAACCAACAAAGGGTAGCTATTACTATGGTATTAAGAAAAATTGATTTGGGATAAGTAGGAGCAAGATGAAGGAAAATGAAAAGTTTTATTTCACTTAGTAAGAGACATCTTAATTACCACTGGTTATATTTGGTTATCACACAGCAGAATAACAACGATGTATATTAATGACGTCTGTTTAATTTTCTTGTGATCTTTATTTGAGCAAGAGCAATAGTGAATTTGTTTTCAGATATTTGGAAATAAAGAATAAAACCAAAGGGGAAACAATAACCATTCATATTAGAATTAACTACTGTTAACATCATAGCATATTTGTTCCTAGTCTTTTTTTTCATGAAAAATCACCATTGGAAAATGATAAAGGAACATTAGAAATAATTCAAACACTAGGCCGGACACGGTGGCTCACGCCTGTAATCCCAGCACTGTGGGAGGCCGAGATGGGCGGATCATGAGGTCAGGAGATCGAGACCATCCTGGCTAACATAGTGAAACCCCGTCCCTACTAAAAAAATAAAAAAAATTAGCCGGGCGTGGTGGTGGGCACCTGTAGTCCCAGCTACTCAGGAGGCTGAGGCAGGAGAATGGCATGAACCCGGGAGGTGGAGCTTGCAGTGAGCCGAGATCACGCCACTGCACTCCAACCTGGGCGACTGAGTAAGACTCCGTCTCAAAAAAAAAAAAAAAAGAAAAATAAATAATTCAAACACAAAAGAAAAACACAAAGATGAATGTTTAAAAGTTATTCCAGGCCAACAGGTAGAGAGGGAGAGAGATGTAGTGAAATGACCTATCTATATTCCCTATGATTCCAGCCATCTCTGAGGCCCAGCTGCATCCTTGTTGCTAGATTATGTGAACTGATTAATATCCATTTTCTTTTATTTTGCTTAAGTTGGTTTGAAATAGGTTTCTGTCAATTATATCCTCCTGACTCATCATGGGACAAACATCTCTTCCAAAAAAATTTCTGCCAGAAACAAAATAGTCTGTTGACTATACCATGGTCCTTTGGCATAATATGGTAATTCTCACATCTTAGATAAATAAACTAGCTACTTATATGAATTCAGAACAAAACTATCTTAAATAGGATGTCCTACTATATCACTGATGAAATCCTATGCTTTGAAGCAGGAAAGAGGAAAAGAAAACTAGAAAGAAAGGTAAATTTCAGGCTGGACGCGGTGGCTCACACCTGTAATCCGAACACTTTGGGAGGCCGAGGTGGACGGATCACGAGGTCAGGAGTTTGAGACCAGCCTGGCCAACATGGTGAAACCCTGTCTCTACTAAGAATACAAAAATTAGCTGGGCGTGGTGACATGTGCCTGTAATCCCAGCTACTTGGGAGGCTGAGGCAGGAGAATCGCTTAAACCCGGGAGGCGGAAGTTGCAGCAAGCTGAGGTTGCAGTGAGCCAAGATCGCGCCACTGCACTCCAGCCTGAGCGACAAGAGCGAAACTCTGTCTCAGGGAAAAGAAAAAAAAAAGAATGTGAATTTCATTTTTATTTTTATTTATTTTTGAGGAGTCTCACTCTGTTGCCCAGGCTGGAGTGCAGTGGCATAATCTTGGCTCACTGCAACCTCCGCCTCCGGGGTTCAAGTGATTCTCCCACCTCAGCCTCCCAAGTAGTTGGGATTATAGGCAACTGCCACCACGTCCGGCTAATTTTTGTATTTTTAGTAGAGATAGGGTTTCACCATGTTGGCCAGGCTGGTCTCAAACTCCTGGCCTCAGGTGATCTGCCTGCCTTGGCCTCCCAAAGTGCTAGGATTACAGGCATGAGCCACCGTGCCAAGCCAGAAATGTGAATTTCAAATGAAGAGCTTCATACATTTCACTGCCAAGAGCTACAATTTTCATTCTTTAAAGAAAATTTGCAGAAATACCCTCTGCTGCTGTCAGTTGAAAAATGGTGCTGTAAGAGCATTACACACAACTCTTGAGTTTTACTCTACCATTTACTGGGGCCACTTTAAAAAGCCATGAAGGATACATCTGAACTTGACTCCACTCTTCACCTAATCGACATTCTGCTAGCTATATGTCAAAACTTTAGTCTACCTTCTTAAATATTGCCCTCATAGTCTAATCTGGCAAACTTCCTCTTTAGATGTACCTATCTTACCTAACAATAAATATTTATTGAGTACCTATTAGGTATAAGCACTATGCCAGGCACTTGGAGAAAATTTATACTAATAAATTTTCAGGGAGTTTATAATCTAGCAGGAGACATTACACATATACAAATAATAACAATACAAGGCAATTTTTGGTAAGTACCATAAATACCATAGACAACTTTAGGATTTCTGTCATTTGCAACCAAAAAGAGTCCTGACCAATAAAGGGCATGTTTAGAAGACCTTACGGGAACAGGAGAATGTTTATATCTTGGAGAAATGGGCAGGGCTGTTCCAAGTGGACAGGCTGGATAATGGTGCTGAGGTAGAAAGTCTGAGGGTAGCAGTTCAGCATGGATGGAAAGTAAAGTGTGTAACAGAAAAGACAAAAGGGGAAAGGCCAGAGTGGGGCCAAGATAGTGAACACCTGAAATTTCATGTTTAAGGAGTATGCTATCTACCCCAATTCTACTGTATGGGTATTTCCTGCTAATTATATCCAACTCTTCAAGCTCAACCCCCTCCTGACTCATCTCCAGATAAATCCCCAATTGGACCCAACTTTACTTTTCCCAATTCATTTTTTTTTTCTTTTTTTGTGATGAAGTCTCACTGTCGCCCAGGCTGGAGTGCAATGGCACAGTCTCAGCTCACTGCAACCTCTGCCTCCCGGGTTCAAGTGATTCTCCTGCCTCAGCATCCTGAGTAGCTGGGACTACAGGTGTGTGCCACCACACCCGGCTAATTTTTGCATTTTTCTTAGAGACAGGGTTTCACTGTGTTGGTCAGGCTGGTCTTGAACTCCTGACCTCGTTATCCGCCCGTCTCGGCCTCCCAACGTGCTGGGATTACAGGTATAAGCCACTGCATCTGGCCCATTTTTGCTGGATTCTAATAGCTATGAAGATCATAAACCAATAAAAAAACTTCTCTGGTAGAAAATGTTCCACACAATATTTATAGACTTTTTAGAGAGAATATTTCAAAATGCTCTAAAAACACACCTGCTGGAAGGACCTGCTAATATAAAAACATGTTTCCTGGAAAGTTACACCTGCCATTTAGGCTTTGTGTTGACATGTTCATTGCTGTAGCCTACACCTAACACGAGGCCTGGTGAATGGGATGTGCTCAATACCAATACACAGGCTGAATGAATGATATGATCACTAGATACCTGTAAAGGTCTACTATTCCTATCTTTCCCAACTTATCTTCAAAGTCTCCATTTCAAGATTACCTACACAAGAGCACTGATGCAAATATGGATCATTTTGGAAAGTTCTGAACTTCTATGTAACTTACAAACCCAGGGAAACAATATACTTACTTTGTGACTCCATAGTCAATTCCAATTGTTGCCAGGTATTTAGACACGAATCTTTTCTCACAGTATCGCTTTATAATACAGCTCTAAAAAGGTAAAAAATACAGGCATTTAGTAAATACATAGTGAGAACACATACAGAATAAGTATATTTCTTCATTATGGTTCCTCCATTCATCACTATGAAAAAGCATTTTCAAAAGACAAAAGTGGCGGGGCGCGGTGGCTCACGCCTGTCATCTCAGCACTTTCAGAGGCCAAGGCGGGTGGATCACCTGAGGTCAGGAGTTCAAGATTAGCCTGGCCAACATGGCGAAACCCCGTCTCTACAAAAATACAAAAATCAGCCGGGCATGGTGGCAGGCATCTGTAATCCCAGCTACTCGGGAAGCTGAGGCAGGAGAATTGTGTAAACCCGGGAGGCGGAGGTTGCAGTGAGCTGAGATTGCTGCCATTGCACTCCAGCCTGGGTGGTAAGAGTGAACGCTTGTCTAAAAAAAAAAAAAAGACAAAACTATAAAATAACTGAAACAAGTGTTAAAAGATTTTAAGAAAAATTATTTTTAAATTCTTCCCTTATTACTAAATATGCATATGTTTTCAGTTGAGTTCTCAATCCTGTGCTCTTTTCTTCTGAAGATGTCTTCTATTCTTATGCTTTCAACGATACCACCAAAATATCTGTCTAGCCTTGACCTCACTGCCAAGACCAGATCCACATCTCTAAATATCTATTAGATTAATTCCTTTTTTTTTTTTTTTTTGAGCCTAGGAGGAGAGGCTGCAGTGAGCCACGATGATGCCACTGCACTCCAGCCTGGGTGGCAGAGGGAGACCCTGTCTCAAAAAGAGAAAAAAAATTTCCTGTTAAATCAATTGAATTGGGTTTGTCCTACTTGCAGTAAAAAGTACTCACTTCACAGAGTATTGTACATACTTCTAGAGTTTGCTTTTCTCTCTTAACAATAATAAATTATGGTTCCCAAGTTAACTTTAAAATAGCTCTACTCACTTTTTTATGGTTACACAATAGTCTGTGATATGCAAATATTCCCTCCATTTCATTGCTTGCTAGTTACTTTGTCATTTGTTTTAATTTGCTGTTTGAGTCAATGATTATTTACTAAGGCATTCCTTAATTTTTAACTTTAAAATGCTTTACCTGTATATCATCCTATATTTTCCAAATCCTTTAAAATGAGTATGTGTTACTTTTACAACTAAGGCAAAATAATAAGTTTTTTTAAAAGTTACACTTAAATCTTTTATCCATCTAGAATTTATTTATTTATTTATTTATTTATTATTATTATTTTTTTTGTAGAGACGGGGTTTCACCATGTTGGCCAGGATGGTCTCGATCTGACCCCGTGAACCGCCCGCCTCGGTCTCCCAAAGTGCTGAGATTACAGGCGTGAGCCACTGTGTCCGGCCTAGAATTTATTTTTGAGAAAGGAATGTAATAGGAATCCAACCTACTCTCAAATAGTAGACAGTTGTTACAACAATATTTACTAAATGGTCTCTATTTTCCCATAATTTTACTACATTTGTGTAAATTGAATTTCCTTACGTATCTGGGTTTATTACTGGACTCTACTCTGTTCCACTGATGTCTCCATATTTCCTTCCCAATACCAATGGGAAAAGTTTGGTAGCTTAAAAAAAATTTTTTTTTAAATTAAACAATCATTTTATTGCTTGAGTACATAGACAAATTTATATGACCAGGACAGAGGCTGTAGATTACTCACTTCCAACTGGGAGGGAGGATTTGCTTGGTCTTACAATATTGAGCCAAAGGGTGACTCTACCTCTCTATCAGAATCAGACAGAATTTACCATCCTTATCCTTTCTGTTCATCTCAAGATGCTTTTGAACAATAACTACTTCTTAATTAAATGGTAGAGATCTTCAGGGAGATCAGGAGCAAGTCCCTTCTTGGACTTAAGAATTCTTAAGATGCTATTGCCTGTCACAAAACGTACTTGAGCAACACCATGTGAGTCTCTCAAGAACCAAACTTGAAAAGGGAATCATGTTTTAACTTCCAATACCAAACACAAACTGGAGAACGTGATGATGTCAAGGCTCAGGTATCATGGCATAGTTTCCTATTTGTAAGATGGGGGTCTACTTTTATACATCACAGAAACCAACATGGGAATGCATGCAAAGCTCTCATAGACATCCAAGGAAGGTTTACCGAACACTAAGGAAAATCTTTCTGGTGGAAACTGTGAACGTTGAAAAACCATCATCACAGTGAAAAAAAATTTTTTTTTTCTTTTTAGAGTCTCACTCTGTCGCCTAGGCTGGAGTGCAGTGGCACAATCTGGGCTTACTGCAACCTCCACCTCCCAGGTTCAAGGCAATTCTCCTGCCTCAGCTTCCTGAGTAGCTGGGACTACAAGCGTGCGCCACCATGCCTGGCTAATTTTTTGTATTTTAGTAGAGATGGGGTTTCACCATGTTGCCCAGGCTGGTCTCGAACTCCTGAGCTCAGGCAATCCACCTGCCTCTGCCTCCCAAAGTGCTAGAATTACAGGCGTGAGCCACTGCGCCCGGCCTGAAAAATATTTTTAAATGGCTGATACAGTTGGTCTTCTTTCATTTCTTTTTTTTCCCCACAATTTTCTTTGTTGTTTTCACATTAATTTTTCATGAAGACTTTAGTAGTCTTGTATTATGTTCTGGGAAAAAAAAACCCTTATTGATGTTTTCACTGGAATTGAATTTCATTTGTAGGTTGAGTAATTCACATCTGTACAATATTGTGTAATCCCACGTAAGGAAAAAGTATATCTTTCCATTTGCCTAAGTAATTTATCTCCCTTTGTAGAGTTTGAAACTTGTCTTCATATAGGTGCTGCCTATTTCATGTTAAGTTTAAACCTAGGAACTTTATTTTTGTTGTAACTGTAAATTAAAATTGTTTTTCAATTACACATTCCAACTGAATATAATTTGGACACAATAAAGTTATTAATTTGTGGGTAATAATTTTGCTTTATTGAATTTTTATAATGTTTCTAATAGTTTTTCAGTTATTTCTCTTTGGGTTTCCAGGTAAACAATCGTATTATTAGCAAATAATGTTAATTTTACCTTCTCTTTTCTAATATTTTTATATTCTCTTACTCTTGTCTAATTGCACTGGCTAATAAAACTAGAAAAATGTTAAGTAGATGTGGTGACACTGGGCATTCTGAGCTGCTTCTAATGTTGTATCATTAGGCACAGTAAAATTACTTTTTTTTTTTTTTTTTTTTTTGAGACGGCGTCTCACTCTGCCGCCCAGGCTGGAGTGCAATGGCGTGATCTCGGCTCACTGCAGCCTCTGCCTCCCCGGCTTAAGCGATTCTCCCGCCTCGGCCTCCCAAGTAGCTGGGATTAAAGGCGTGCACCACCATGCCTGGCTAATTTTGCATTTTTAGTAGAGACAGGATTTCACTATGCTGGTCTTGAACTCCTGACCTCAAGTGATCCGCCCGCCTCGTCCTCCCAAAGTGCTGATGTATTACAGGCCTGAGCTAGCGTGCCCAGTCCCTAGAAAAAAAAAAACACCTCGTACACAGCTGACGTTCAAAAAAATGTTGACTTTCAGTGAATACTATGCTAGCACATACACACAAAAGTAGTACGGGATCATGCTACACAGAAATAAAAAACACTAAGTAAACATTTACTGAGCATCTCCTGGGTGCCAGGCACTGGACTAGGCACTGCCTTAACAGCTCTTTCGGAGTTGATTTTGAACGCATACAACGACGGAAAGAGCACCGCAGTGGGAATGTGAAGACTTAGGTTCTAATCTTTCCTCGGTCACTGATTTGATGACCTTGGGAAGTTCTTAACCAACAGATTCCACTTGCCCAAAAGGAAAGAATTTGAGTGAAGAGGAGGCCGTCTTGGAATTCATAAGGGAAAAGGCCTCAGGTTACCTCTGGCCTTCCCTCCCCACGTACTAAAGGAGAGTTTATAGCTGATGAACCACAGATGGGGCAGAGAGAAGGGCGGTGGAACTAACAGATATGGGGACACCACCAAAAATAAAACACAACGCAAAACAAAACAGCGCGGACCCCGGCCATCCCTTGCACCTCCCCTGTGAAACACGTCAACGTCAGTTACGCTCTCTCGTGACGGGAATGCAGAATCTGGGCTGCCGGGCACCATTTCGCGAACCCCAAATTCTCACACGCACCCCATAACGTTCCGCCGGCTCCCAGGCCCGGCTGGGGGAACTAAACTTTCATCCTCCATCTCCCGGTCCCGGACGGCCCCCTAGAACGCGGGCAAGGTATCTAGGCCGACGGCCCCTCATGGGGACCCAGGCCTTCTTACTCTTTTGGGGGTACATTCAAGGCTTAGAGGCCACCCCAGACACCATCTCCGGAAGAGTGACGTCGGAGGACGAGGGGGCAACGGAAAGGTCAAAAAGGTCGGGGAGTTTCGTTCGCGGAGCCGCACCCCTCGGCTGAGACCCGGGCCTGCTCGGGGGCGGAGAGGAGGCCGGGCCCCAGGCTGTTGAGTGGCCGCCCTTCCAGCCAATGGACACGTCGCCCCGCCACGCTGGGGCCCGCCCCTCCCGGCTCGCTGTACTCACTTTCCCCACTTCGGCGTTGCCCATGGAGATGACTTTGATGCGGAGAGACCTGCCGGGCTCCTTCCGCTTCGGCATGTTGGCCTCCATGGCCCTGGCTCTCTCGGGGCCACCCGCCTCGGTCTCTTCTTGTGCACCGCTGGCCCGTCCCTCAGGCCTCCTCGTCCAATGGCGGAGCCGCTGCTCTCGTCACCGCCTCGCCTCCGCTGCTCGCCATCCCCGCCGCTGCCTGGCAGCAGGCGCGGGCGGTTGGGAGCGTGGGGAGCCGGGGGAGGGAGACGGGAGTCTCGCGATGCTAGCGCGGGGCTGCTGACGTCATCTGCAGGCCCTGGAGACGCGACTGCAGTTACCGAGTTTCTAAGGCCTCGTCCCCTGACGGGAAGGCGGCGTTGGGGGGCGGCTGGGTTTACCCTTCGAGGTGAGCGCGTCCTTGTTTTCAGGGACGCCCGGACGGGAGGCGTTTGTTGCTTTCGCAGCCGAGTGGTGGAAATGTATTGGCTCTTCAGGGCGGGTCTGGTAGTGTCTCGTCCGTTTGGGAGTGTTTTTTTTTTTTTCTGGATTCTTTTTCGGTTCCATGGGCCGGGCTGCTGCTCCTCTTCCCCCTCCAATATTTTGTTCCCCTTGCTCGAGATCCCCGAGAGGCAGACCCCAAAGCCAGGAAAGTGGGGAGGTCGGAACCCTGGTTCTGGAAGAGGGCCTTGGGCAAGGCGTGAAGCGATTCTGAATCTGGTTCCTATTGTTTTTTATTTTAAATGGAGTTGTCTATTTGGAGTCAAGGCAAGAGTGTTTAGTCTTGGCCCTCCTATTACAGATCTCTGATGGATTTGTTGACTCCTCTGTGGGAGAAAGGCTTGGTCTACTGCAGGTGTTAACGCTAAGCCAGGCTGGAGCTGTGGACGTCAGTTTCCTCAGCTCCCCGCTGTTCGCTTCGAACGTGACCTCGACGTCTGCTCTCCCCTTCCCTTTAGCTGACAATGTGACAGTGCTTGAATAAAAGTCAGTCTGACAGGAACGGTAATTTTTTTTCAGTGAATATCTTCAGTTACAGAAGATAAATAGAACTTGACAATGATTATTTATAGTGCCCTGAAAAAAAATGGCTGCCAATTTCCCTGTATATTACAAAGACAAAAGTAGCATTGCTTCTTTTCTCACCTAACTTTAAACATCTTAAGGGAAGTGCATTACAGGAAGGCAATGAGCAAAGGCTCAACATTTCACAGTAAAGTCAGATTTTCCACATTTTAATTTTAAAATGTGTTTTTTAAACATTAAGTTTTTTTTAAGACAAGTTTATTCTGGATTGTTTTGATAATCAAATAATATAACTTAATTCACTGAAGCTTCTAAAATTATTTACAAATATGAAATATAAGTCCTGGTTAGAATTTGGATAGTTTTAAAGCTTAAAAGAATCCACATGCTAACTTCTCAGTATGATTTAATAAATCAAATTACTAAACATGTAATTTCTTCGACAGTTCACCTTTGGCCCTGTAATAGGGTAACTGGTATTGTGGAAGAATAATTATAAAATGTCAAATCTTCAGCTGTTATGATTGATTAAGTATGGTGCTGTTGAGACTAAGCAGTAAAACATGCCACAGATTTAAATTGATTACTATTTTTTTCATATTGATGGGGTTTTTTTTGTTTTTGTTTTTGTTTTTGAGACAGAGTTTCCCTCTTGTTGCCCAGGCTAGAGTGCAGTGGCACAATCTCTGCTCACTGCAACCCCTGTGTCCCGGGTTCAAGCAATTCACCTGCCTCAGCCACCCGAGTAGCTGGGATTACAGGCACCCACCGGTATACGCAGATAATTTTTGTATTTTTAGTAGAGACGGGGTTTCACCATATTGGCCAGGCTGGTCTCGAACTCCTGACCTCAGGTGACCCTCCTGCCTTTGCCTCCCAAAGTGTTGGGATTACAGGCATGAGCCACAGCGTCCGGCCCATATTGATGCTTTTGACACTTTATTGTATATAGCTACATTTTCTACTGTGTGTATTAAATTAGTTTGGAATCGAAAGAGCAAGAAAGTTGTTTTTTTTCCCCCACTCTTTGAATATAAAAAAATAAAAATCAGCACGAGTTAGCTGCTTTTTCCATAGTATGGACCTGGGAGGTATAGTGTGAGCATGGATTCTGGAGCCAGCCCGATACACTTAATCTTGGCATATGTTGTAGGCATGAGGTGGTGATAAGGATTGTAGGAGATAATGCACAGGAAGTACGTAGTAGTCTCCCAGCAAACAGCAGCCACATGCTCTCATTTGCTCATACTTTTTTATGTGTTAAGAAAAATCCTACATCTTTTTAATGTGTATTTTTAGAAAGTAAATTATGAAATATTTAGGACATACTTAAAGGTATAAAGTATAATGGAATGAATAGCCATGTATCCCCCACCCAATTTAAGAAATAAAATATCACCACTGGGCATGGTAGCCCACCCCATAATCCCAGCACCTTGGGAGGCCAAGGCCAGTGGATCATTTGAGCCCAGGAGTTTGAGATCAGCCTGGGCAACATGGCAGAACCCTGTCTCTACGAAAAAAAAAGCCGTTGTGGTAGCCCAAGCCTGTAGTCCCAGCCACGCGGGAGGCTGAGGTTGGAGAATCACCTGAGCCTGGGAGGTTGAGGCCACAGTGAGCTGTGGTCGTGCCACTGCACTCCAGCCTGGGCAACAAAGTTGGACCCTGTCTCTAAATAAATAAATGAAACAAGAAAACATCACTGATACTGTGCGTAGCCTTTCCCAATACATCCCTCTTCCCTCTCTACAAACAGTTGCAACAATCTGAATGCTGCTTTAATTTCCAGGCATTTAAAATTGTTTTACTATATATGAATATATACCTTAAAATGTAGTATTGCATTTCATCTTTCAAAACTGTTTTGAAATAATTTTACACAGAAAATTTCAAGAATGAGACCAAAAAATCTTGTCTACCCTTTATCCAAATTCATCAGTTGTTAACATTTTGTCCCATTTTTTCTATCACTTGTGCTATCTATATGTACATGTATACTCAAATGTTTCTGAGTAGTTTGAGGTTTATTTGCAGACATTTTAATAGATAGATATACATAGATAGATATAAACACAGGCCCAGCTGGGTGGCTCACACCTATAATCCCAGCACTTTGGGATGCCAAGACGGGTAGATCACTTGAGGTTAGGAGTTCGAGACCAGCCTTGCCAACATGGTGAAACCCCATCTGTACTAAAAATACAAAAATTAGCCAGATGTGGTGGCAGGCACCTGTAATCCCAGTGACTTGGGAGGCTGAGGCAGGAGAATTGCTCAAAAATATATATAAAGACATATATAATATATACACATATATATATAGTGTGTATATATACATATATGAATATATGTCATACTTACCTATATATGTATTTCTTTTTTTTTAGAGAAGGAGTCTCACTGTGTTGCCCAGGCTGGTTTTGAACTCCTGGGCTCAAGCAGTCCTCCTGCCTCAGCCTCCCAAAGTGCTGAGATTATAGGCATGAGCCAATGTGCCCAGCCAGCTTGTTTCTTTATCCATAAATAATGTGTGTTTCCTCAGAAGGACTTTCTTCTACATGGCAACAGTGATTTATCAAAATCAGAAAATGCAGCATTTATACAGCACTATTATAAAATCCTGTGGTTTGAATCAAACTGTACACTGAGGTACCTCACATCCCCACAGTAAATCCACGGGGGGATATCTGTGGAATAGCTTGCATTCTAAATTTTCAAGGCAAACAAAATGAAATCTAAATGACTGTACAAAACTACTAGCTTGAAGTTGTTTACAGTTTCAACAATAGATGGCGCCAAATTCCTTGGCTATGTCATGTCTTGGGGCATCTAGGCTTTCCAGTTGGTTGTGATGAAAAGTGAGTACACTGGGCCGGGCGCAGTGGCTCACGCCTGTAATCCCAGCACTCTGGGAGGCCGAGGCGGGCGGATCACGAGGTCAGGAGATCGAGACCATTCTGGCTAACACAGTGAAACCTCGTCACTACTAAAAAATACAAAAAATTAGCTGGATGTGGTGGTAGGCGCCTGTAATCCCAGCTACTCGGGAGGCTGAGGCAGGAGGATACCTTGAACCTGGAAGGCGGAGGTTGCAGTGAGCCGAGATAGCACCACTGCACTCCAGCCTGGGTGACAGAGCGAGACTCCCTCTCAAAACAAAACAAAACAAAACAAAACCCTGAGATGCTGAAAGCACTGTGAACAAAGAAAATTTGGGAAACTTTTATCTAATTCACAGTTAACACTCAAATTTCACCATTTGTCCCAATAATATTCTTTATAGCTGTGTTTGACTTGGTCAACTGGTCTAGGATCTAATCTAGGATCATTTAGTTACATATCTTTAGTCTTTAAGCTGGAATGGTTCCTCAGCTTTTCTTTTTCTTTCAAAATGACGGTTATTTTTAGAATATTCCTCAATTTGTGTTTGTTTGTGTATTCTTGAAATTAGAGTCAGTTATGTTATATTTGGCTGGAATACCACAGAAAAGATGTTATGGGCCAGGTGCGGTGGCTCATACCTGTAATCCCAGCACTTTGGGAGGCCAAGGTGAGCAGATTACCTGAGGTCAGGAGTTCGAGAGCAGCCTGGCCGACATGGTGAAGCCGTGTCTCTACCAAAAGTACAAAAAAATTAGCTGAGCATGGTTGCACGTGTCTGTAGTCCCAGCTACTCGGGAGGCTGAGGCACAAGAATTGCTTGAACCTGGGAGGCAGAGGTTACGGTGAGCCGAGATCATGCCACTGCACTCTAGCCTGGGTGACAGAGCAAGACTCCATCTAAACAAACAAAGATACTATGTCCTTTTTGGGCAGCATATCAGTTGGGATGCCAATTTTTTCCATTTATTAATGATGCTTACTTTAGTTCATTGGTTAAGGTGGGGTTCATGAAGCTGATCTACAGTAAAGTGACTTTTCCCTTTGTAATAAGTAGTTTTTAAAGGGATACTTGGAGATTATATGGCTATCCTTTCTTCACTGAACTTTCACCCACAAATTTTTAGAATCCAGTGATTACTTATGGCTGAAGAGATTATTACTATGATGGACGCAAAATGCTGATTTTCCAACTCCATCATTCCATTTATATTTATTACTTGGTATTCTACCATAAGGAAAAGCTTTCCTTTCTCATTCATTCATTTGTATCAGTATGGCCTTGTATATGCTTATTTTACTCCATGAATATTATTATTTATTTTGATACTCAGGTTGGCTCGTATGTCCTTTTGATGTCTTCACCTTTGTTGTTGTTGTTGTTTCTGTGTTTGTTTAGCACTTTCTTACTTTTTTTTTTTTAAATTTTTTTTAGAGACAGTGTCTCGCTCTGCTGCCCAGGCTGGAGTGCAGTGGCTCAATCTCGGCTCACTGCAACCTCCGCATCCCAGGTTCTAGCAATTCTCCTGCTTCAGCCTCCTGAGTAGCTGGGATTACAGGCGCATGCCGCCAGGCTTGGCTAATTTTTTGTATTTTAGTAGAGATGGGGTTTCCCAGGCTGGTCTCGAACTCCTGAGCTCAGGCAATCCACCCGCCTCAGCCTCCCAAAGTGCTAGGATTACAGGCTTGAGCCACCATGCCCAGTCACTTTCTTACTTTCTTAGCACAGCAACAAGCCCTGCTTCCAAGGATCCTTTTAATGGAGGATGGTATTTAGAAACCAAGATCTGGGTGCTAGGTGTTCTCAGTAGTACTAGAGTGTCTTTGCTTTTGGACCTTTCAGTTGATTGAGCCAAAAAAAGAGATATATGTACATATATACATGCATCTGAATCCATTTATTAAAGTATAGTTTATATGGATAATACCAATGCATTTTAGCATAACAGGATTTGTTCTAGTCTTCCCCCTTTCCATAATTATGACTTCCTGCTTCAACAGTGAGAAACTTGGCTCCTTTTATCCTCAGTATATTTACTCATTTGCTCAATCCTACACTACATAGGAAGTAGTTTCAGAGTTGCTAACCCATACCATTTTAAAAAACAAAAGCCCTTTGAACTAGAGTTCAGTATTTGTTTATGACTTTTTGTCCAAAACTGACAAATACAGTTTGTCATATAGTATAAGTATTGTGTTCAAACGTTAGTTGGGTTAATCCTTTTTTTTCCTTCTTCAGTGTGGTTATGGTTTGCATTCGAAATACAATTAAGCTCATTTGTTTCTTTAGTATTGTAGCTTCAGTTTTTTGCCCCTCATGATTAGTGACTTTATTAACGTTTTTGGGTATGTAAAACATTAACAGATTCAAAGTTAAAGCAATACAATCAGTATACCCACATGAGTGTCACTTTCACCCTTCATTCCAATCCTTTTCACCACTTCCCACCTACCTGCTGTGGGCAACCAATCACATAGACTGTGATTTACTCCTTCCTGTGTTTCTTTTTATAGAAAATAGACAGTTACATGTATATTTTCTCATTTCTCTTTATGACACAAAAAAGTAACATTGTATGTGTGTGCACAATTTTGAAATTTGCTTTTACACTTAATATATTCTGGAAAGGACCACATGCTATTTCACTATTATGTAAAAAAAGATCATACTCCTTTTTTATAGCTACACAGCACAGTATCCCATTGTGTGTATATACATTTTTTTTCAGTTAATATATTTAGGGGCATTTATGTATTTTTGTACTATTATGGGTATGTCTTCAAGGTAAAATTCTTTAAAAAATGGAATTACTGGGTCAAAGGTAAATGTAAATTTACTTTTATTATATATTGCCAAATTCTGTAAGGTAACGTTTTGAGAATTTTTGCATTAATATTCTTAAGTAATGTTGGAAGTAAGTAATATTATTAAGTAATACTAAAGTAATTTTATGCTACCTTTGCCTTGTTTAGATACTAATGTTATACTTGCATCATAGGCTAGGTGCTGTGGCTCATGTCTGTAATCCCAGCACTTTCATAAGTGGAAGTGGGAGGATCTGTTGAGGCCGGGAGATCAAGACCAGCCCTGGCAACATAGTGAGACCTTGTCTCTATAAAAATAAAGACTCAGGCAGGAGAATCACTTGAGCCCAGGAGTTCAAGGTTACAGTGAACTATGATCTCACTGCTGCACTCCAGCCTGGGTGACAGACCAAGACCTTGTCCCTCAAAATCCCACCAACACACACATAGTTGACAGTTTTAAAAAATGTTTCTATGCTCTGGAATAATTTATCTGACAAAATTTATTTTTTATTTTTTTTTCAGAGACGGGGCTTCGCCATCTTTCCCAGGCTGGTCTCAAACTCCTGAGCTCAAGTGACCCTCCTGCCTTGGCCTCCCAGAGTGCTGGGATTACAGGCATGAGCAATGGTGCCTGGCCCAAAATTCATACATTAGCAAAAGTAGGGAGAATAAAGTAATGAACACTCATTTTCCACCTTCAGCAATATCAACGTGGATCAATCTTGTTTCATCTATACCCCAGATTATTTTGGGGCAAACTATAAATATAGTTATACTATAACTATCCATATCTTATTATGTACTTTAGAAGGTGAAGCTCTTAAAATACAGACATAAATGAAATCTAACTGGCATACTGTGGTAAGCCGAATTCTAAGATGGCCTCTAAGATTCCTGGCCCCTGGTACACACATACCTTTTCCCAGTTAGTTAATCAAACATGAATTTGGGTGCTGCTACAAAGGGATTTTGGTAATTAAGTTCCCAGATCAGTTGTTTTTACGCTGAAGATATTATCCTCCATGGGCCTGACCCAATCAGATGAGTCCTTAAGTAGGATAGGGCTTTTCCTGGCAAAAGATATTAAAAATGTGAGAAGCATTCAATAGGAGGAAGGTTCTCCAGGATGGAAGGGGATACTTAGCAAGGACCTAAGAGTGGCCTCTTGGAGCTAAGAGTAACCCCCAGCCAACAGCAAGAAAATGAGCAGCTCAGTCCTACAACCAGAAGTAACTGAATTCTGCCAAAAACCTGAATGAGCCTGGAAGGAGCTCCTGAGCTCTGATGAGAACCCAGCTGTCTGCTACCTTCATTGCAGCCTTGTGAGACTTTTTTTTTCTGAGACAGGGTCTCGCTCTGTTGCCCAGGCTGGAGTGCAGTGGCACGATGTCAGCTCATTGCAGCCTCTGGCTCCCAGGTTCAAGTGATTCTCCTGCCTCAGTCTCCCGAGTAGCTGGGATTACAGGCGCCTGTCACCACACCCGGCTAATTTTGTATTTTTAGTAGAGATGGGGTTTCACCACGTTGGCCAGGATGGTCTCGAACTCCTGATCTCAAGCGATCTGCCCACCTCAGCCTCCCAAAGTGCTGGGATTACAGGCGTGAACCACTGCACCCAGCCTACTTTTTTTTTTTTTTTGAGATAGGCTCTCTCTGTTGCCCAGGCTGGAATGCAGTGGCACAATCATAACTCACTGCAGCCTTGACCTCCTGGGCTCAAGTGATCCTCCTATCTCAGTCTTCCGAGTAGCTGCGACTACAGGTCTGTAGCACCATGCCTGGCTAGTTATTTTTTGTAGAGGCAAGCTCTCACTATGTTGCCCAGGCTAGTCTTAAATTCCTCGCCTCGAATGAGCCTCCCACCACAGCCTCCCAAAATGCTGGGATTACAGGCCTGAGCCACCATCCTGGCCCCTTGTGAGATTTCTGGGCTAGAGAACCCAGCCTCTGTATGCCTTATCATCTGACCTACAGGACTGCAAGATGTTTAATGTCTGTTGTTTGAAACTGTTGAATTTGCAGTAATTTGTTATGCAGCAATAGAAAACTAATATACATACTGAAAAGTTGGTAGTAATTCCTCTCAGTGACCAAGTTTTTGTGGGAAAGTTTTTAACTACAAATTCAATTTTTTAAGGAGTTCTGCTTCCAGTATGGTAGTGTAAACCCTTTCAGATAATTCTCCCACTGATTAAAAAACAATAACAGGGCTGGGCGTGGTAGCTCATGCCTGTAATTCCAGCACTTTGGGAGGCCAAGGCAGGCAGATCACTTGAGGCCAGGAGTTCGAGACCAGCCTGCACAACATGACAAAACCCCATCTGTACTAAAAATACAAAAATCAGCTGGGTTTGATGGTACACACCTGTACTCCTAGCGACTTGGGAGGCTGAGGTGGGAGGATTGGTTGAATCCAAGAGCCAGAGATTGCAATGAGCCGAGATCATGCCATCACACTCCAATCTGGGTAACACAGTGAGACTCTTCCTCAAGAAAGAAAAAAAGAGAGAGAGAAGAAGGAGGGGGAGGGGGGAGAGGGAGGGAGGGAGGGAAGAGAGGAAAGGAAGGAAAAAACTACTGGGAGATTCTGAAGAGTAACAGAAACCAGGCAAATGGTAGAGGGGAGTGGAAATCTTGGAGAAGCACCTGGCATGGGGATGAGTCTCTCCTAAGCAATGTAAGAACCTTAGAACCCTGACTCTGCTGAGCCTTCCGACCTTCCTTATTAGGGGTAGAGGGTCTTAGTTTGGAGTCTGTGAGCATGGATATTGTGCTTCCATGTTCATATCCATGTATTCATCCTACTACAGACTATCCCAAAAAGTGTGTGGGAGTTCGTATTTTCCAAAAATGGCTGTGACAACATTTCCCATTCCATATGACCTTTTTTTATATAGTGGCAAAATACACATAACATAAAATGTATCATTTTAACCATTTAAAAATGTACAGCTCAGTGGCATTAAGCACATTCACATTGTGCAACCATCACTGCCATCTTTCCCAGAACTTTTTCATCTTCCCAAACTGACATTCCATACCACTGAGCACTAACTCTCCATTCTCTCCTCCCCCCAGCCCATGGGACCCATCATTCTACTTTTGTCTCTATTAATTTGAGTACTTCAGGCACCTCATACGAGTAGAATGGCTGGCTTACTTCACTTAGCATAATGTCTTCAAGGTTCCCATATGAAATTCTTACAGTAGGATTGAGACTCCTCTCCATAGGTCTATGTTCCTCTCCTTTGAATCTGGGTGGAATTGTAACTATGGTGTTAGTGACGTTATGCCACCTCCAAAACTAAGTCATAAAAGGCAATGCAATTTCCTTCTGGTTCTCTTGGAATGCTCACTTTTGGAATCTAGCCACCAAACTGTGAAGATTCCAGCTCTTCATGGAGAGGACCATGGAGAGAGAAACGAGCTCCCCACTCACACCCACAACCACAGCTGAGCTCCCATATGACAATCAGCACCAACTTGCCAGCTATGGGATTGAGCCATCTTGAAAGTGCCAAGACAATGAAGCAAAGATGCCAACAAGCAGTGGAATGTAGCAATAAGGAACACATAACAAGTGATATTCAGTAATATGGACAGGTAGAAAATTGTCATTAACCCCGCCAAGAAATTTGAGCTCAGAGCAAGCTGCCAATTTCTTGGGAGATATCCTGGGGTACCTAGCAGATTACTAGTAGTGCTCAAATGCTATCTTCCTTCTGTTCTTTGAATGCCAAGTTCACTTGCAGCTCATGGCCTTTGTATATAGACCTCTGCCTAAAACACCCTTCTCTAGATCTTGAGACTCTCCAGCCATACTGCTCTGGCTCCTCATAGAGAGGAGATTTTGGCACAAACCAGTGTTTCCACCTACGTATCTAATTGCAGTTAATGGCACCCAATTGCCTAATAAAAATGTAGGGAAAGGAAGGGAAAGGTAAGGAAGGGTAGCAGAGGGAAGGGGAGGGGAGGGAAGGAGAGGGAGAAGGGAAAGGAAAGAAAAGAAAGGAGGGAAATCTTTAGAGCTATGGCACAGGGCTCTACTTTTTAACCCAGCTCTCTTTAATAATTTGGGTAAATATACAGGAGAGATATATTAAAAAGTTGTGGATTGGCTGGGTGCGATGGCTCACACCTGTAATCCTAGCACTTTGGGAGGCTGAGGTTGGTGTATTGCTTGAGGTCAGGAGTTCAAGACCAGCCTGGGCAACATAATGAGACAATCACCAAAAAATACAAAAATTATCTGAGTGTGGTGGCAGGCACTTGTAGTCCCAGCTGGTCTGGGGTCAGAGGAGGGAGGATTACTTGAACCTGGGAGGCAGAGGTTGCAATGGGCTGGGATCGAGCCATTGCACTCCAGCCTGGGTGAAAGAACGAGACCTTGTCTCAAAAAAATAAAAAAGTTTTGGATAACAATTCAAAATTGCGAACAATGTTGGTTTTTGTTTTACCTTTTTAGACACAGGGTCTTGCTCAGTCACCCAGGGTAGAGTGTGGTGGTATGATCATACCTCACTACAGCCTCAACCTCCTAGCCTCAAGGAATCCTCCCATCTGAGTCTCCCAAGTAGTTAGGGCTACAGGCATATGCCACCACGCCAGGCTAATTTTGTTTTCTTTTTTGCAGAGACGACTTGCTATGTTGACCAGGCTGGTCTTGAACTCTTGGCCTTGAGTTGTCCTCCTGCCTCAGCCTCCCAAAGTGATCTAGCCAACAATATTGCTTATAATGGACAACTGAAAAAGGTTTTTTGTTTTTTTTTTTTTTTTTTTTTTTTGAGACAGAGTCTCACTCTGTCACCCAGGCTGGAGTGTAGCGGCGTGATCTCAGCTCGCTGCAATCTCTGCCTCCCGGGTTCAAGTGATTCTCCTGCCTTAGCCTCCTGAGTAACTGGGACTACAGGCATGTGCCACCACCCCCATATAATTTTTGAATTTTTAATAGAGACGGGGTTTCACTATGTTGGCCAGGCACATGTTGAACTCCTGACCTCAGGTGATCCACCCGCCTTGGCCTCCCAAAGTGGTGGGATTACAGGCATGAGCCACCATTCCTGGCCCTGAAAGAATATTTTAAATGATCATTCTGCTGCTGATTGATTATGCATACTAGCAGCTTGACTCAATTTTAACATTTTGCAGTTGAAGTCCATCAACATTACTTATACAGTACTCACATTTCTAAGAGGTATATACCTAGGAGTTGAATTGCTTTGTCATAGGGTACGTCTGTTCAGCTTTGGTTGGTACTGCCAAACAGTGTTCCAAAGTGGCTGTCAATTTACACTCCTACCAACAGTGAATGAGAGTTCCAGCTGTTCAAAATTCTCATTGGCCCCTCAATTTTGCTAGTCTTTTAATTTTAGCCTTCCTTAGACATTTGTAGTAGTATCTAAGTGTAGTTTTAATTTGCATTTTCCTGGTGACTAATGAGATTGAGTGCCTTTTCGTATTTTTAAAGGTCGTTTCTTCTTATGTTGATTACCTGTTGCACGGCACAATGGCTCAAACCTGTAATCCCACCACTTTGGGAGGCCAAGGCGGGCAGGCTTACTTGAGCCCAGGAGTTCAAGACCAGCCTGGGCAACGTTAGGGAGACCCTGTCTGTACAAAAATTAGCTGGACATGGTGGCGCAGGCCTGTGAGCCCAGCTACTTGGGAGGCTGAGGTGGGAGGATCACCTGAGCCCAGGAGGTTGAGGCTGCAATGAGCTATGATTCCACCACTGCACCCTAGCCTGGGTGACAGAGAGAGACCCTGTCTCAAAAAAAAAAAAAAAAGTACTTGTTCAATTAATGTTTTATTGAGTTGCTTATTTTTTTCTTATTGATTTGTAAAAATCTTTATATATTCTACATATATTATTTATCTATATTCTTTATCAGATATATACACTTTGCACCAGCATATTTGTAGCACTACTATTAGTAATAGTAAACAACTGGTAACAACTCATTTGTCTGGCAGTGGAGGAGTGGATAAATAGTGGTATATTCTTCCAATGGAATACTAAATCATTGCTATACAATACTATGGTACTGCTATGAATCTCACAGATGTAATAATGAGTTAAAGAAGCTAGGCACAAAAGAATATTACTGTATGATTCCAATCATATAAAGTTCAAACCAGATCAAACTAATCAATGAACGAGGAGTCAGGATTCTGGTTATATTCAGGGATAGTGATGGAAGAGGGCTATAAGGAGGGTGTCTGGGTGCAGGTCATGTTCTAGATCTTGATCTGAGTGGGGGTTACATAGGTGTATTCACTTCATGAGAATTCAGAGGGCTGCACACTAATGATCTGTATAATGCTCCTCTATAGTATGTCACACTTCAAAAAAGTTTACAGAAACAGTTCCTTCCTAATTTTCACAGGGCCTAAGAGCTAAAAACGCAGCCCCAGCCTGATGTTTCTCTCTGCTCAGGGTTTCTCGTGCTGTGCCTGTGATAGCTCTTGGTGTCCATGGAAACCAGACAGAGACAGCGTGGTGGGGAAACAAGCCAGAGGGAAACTGTAGCCAAGAAGCTTTGCGCATGCGACAGAGGAACAGACCCCCCTCCCCTGCTCACCACGAGTCTTCCCTCCCTGTACTCTCAGATCTGTCAGCTATAGCCAGTTCCCTGCCACCACGACTGTCCACCTAGGACAACTCTGGCTGTTGCTTGTCATAATTTACACCCATAACTGCTTCCAGCCCACCTTCTCCGTCACTGGCTTTCATCTTCCCCAACCCAGCAGGAAAGTTGGCCTGGCAGGGACTCAAAACAAAACAAAAAAAAGGCCTTACCTGGATCAGGGGACACTAATGCCTCATTAACCTTACTAAGGGCATAAGCCCAAAAAAGGCCTTTGAGTAGCCATGGTGAACGTTACAGACTCTGTGCATAAGAGCATAAGCTCTTTACTCACAGTAGAGTTCTCCAGATCCTTGCTCAGAGCTTATGAATCCCTATTTTAAACAGAGTTGTATCACCTTGTTATCTGATTTTTTAGGTCTGCAAAAACACAGGGTAGAAGTGAGTGGGTGAAATTCTCCCGAGGGTGCCCACGTGCCTGGCTTTGTTAAGTTTGGGAATTATTCTGGATATATCTGGGTACGAATGTGTGTATGCAAGCATATGTGTGGGGCTTCTGGGTATACTCATGTGTTGGTTATAATGACTTTGTGTGCGAGAGTGTGTGCATTAGCATTTCCTGCATCTGTCGGCTTCGTGTGTGCATATTGAATGTATGCTATATGAGGACGTTTGTGAATGAATTTGTCGTTTTGTGGGTTTATATGTGTACATGTGATCAGATGTAAAATATGTAAATGAGAATTTACACTTTTTTGACTGTAGGAAATATGACAGAGCATTTGTAGGGCTGCTTATAAGTTTATGTCTTCAAGCTAAACTGTAAGTTTGTATGTGGATTTATATAGGGATAGCTCTAGGGAAAGTTTCCAAGTCATATGGTTGAACCATATGGAATTGCCATTTTGTGGGCTAAAAATGGTTAAGTATTCTATAATTTTTGTATGATTCTAATTAATGGGTGTGTATGTACATGCGTATAAACACATACATAAATTCAAGTTAGCATAGCCCCTACACCAATTAGTAATACCATCAGAGCTGAGAAGAAGACGATCACCATGAGTATGAGATCCGGGAAGAAACTTAACATGGACCTTGAGGGAAGGATAAGATATGGAAAGAATGATGAATAATGGAACAGAAAGTTGCAAAAGGGAAATAGTGGGAAATGAGGTTGAAAGTTGTTTACCCGGGAAAGCCTTCTCTGACACTTGTTTTGTATTCACGCACCCCAAGTTTGGCTCTGCCTCGGGCTTCTACAAACCCCCATGAAGTGACTCAATGACAACACTTGTCACCCTGAACTGTAATTGTTAATCTAATTGGCTGTCTTCCCCACCAGGCAACAAGTTCACTGAGGGCAATAACTGTCTCTCTGGTTCACTTATATTCCCAACACTTAGGACAAAGCTTGGTACAGAATGGAAACTTAGCTAGCATTTGTTGAAGAAACAGATGGCTGAAAGCCAGGTCTTCTGATACAGCAGTGCATTGTCAGGCTAAGGAGTGCAACTCGTTCTGGCCAGCACATGTGACTGTCGGTTCTTTGGCAACTGACAGACATTTTGGAGAGTTGATTAACATGCACAAAACATCATTTAAAAATACTAATTTGGGAGTGGTATCAAGAATAGACAGAAGTAGGCTAGGTGAGGTGGCTCACATCTGTAATCCCAGCATTTTTAGAAGGCCAAGGCAGGATCGCTTGAGACTAGGAGTTCAGGACCAGCTTGGGCAATATAGAGAGACCCTGTCTCTTAAAAAAATAAAAATTAAAAAAAGGCCAGGTGTGGTGGCACACACCTGTAGTCCTGGAACTTTGGGAGTCTGAGGCAGGAGGATCACTTGAGCCCAGGAATTCAAGACCAGCTTGGGCAACACAGGGAGACCCCATCTCTACAAAAAATAAAAAAATTAGCCCAGGCATGATGGCTCACACCTGTAATCCCAGCACTTTGGAATACTGAGGTGGGTGGATCACTTGAAGTCAGGAGTTTGAGACTGGCTTGGCCCAAATGGCAAAACCCTGTCTGTACCAAAAAAAAAAAAAAAAAAAAAAAAAAAGTAGCCAGGCATGGTGGTGCACAGAACAAGTCACCCTATCCACTTGTGCATGCCTGTAATCCCAGGCACTCAGGAAGCTGAGGCATGAGAATCGCTTGAACCTGGGAGGTGGATGTTGCAGAGAGCTGAGATCGCACCACTGCACTCCAGCCTGAGCAACAGAGCGAGACTCTGTCTCAAAAAAAAAAAAAAAAAGAAAAGAAAAAGCCAGGGATGGTGGAACACACATGTAGTCTCAGCCACTGAGGAGGCTGAGGTGGGAGGATCGCTTCAGCCAGGGAGGTTGAGGCTGCAGTGAGCTGAGATCAACACTACTGCACTCCACCCTGGCTGCCAGAGTGAGACCTGGTCTTAAAAAAAAAAAAAGAGAGAGAAAAGAAAAGAAGGTTATGTAGGTTATGGTTAGCCATCAGAAGCCCAGTAGTTCCTAGGCATCTGGCAATAAATACCTACATGACAATGGCAATGGGAATGGACAGCAAGGAAGAGATGAAAAAACTACAATAGGAACAGCTTCTTGGTGACTGCTAGGTGTGGGGCAAACCGAGAAAGTGGAGTGAAGGCTGACCCCACGTTCTGGAGCCCGAGTGGCTGAGATGATGACAGTTACTCTGACAGAAATGAGACCCCAAAGGAGAGCTATTTAAACAGTGACAAGATCTGTTTTGAACACGCTGTAGTTTTGGATGTTGATATGGTTTGGCTGTGTCCCCATCCAAATCTTATCTTGAATTGTAAACCCCATAATCCTCATGTGTTGTGGGAGGGATTTGGTAGGAGGTAATTGAATCATGGGGGCGGTTTTCCCCATGTTGTTCTCGTGATAGTGAGTGAGTTTTCACAATATCTTAATCATTTTCCCCTTCCACAAGATATCACACTGGTCCATTACATTGATGACATTGTGCTGATTGGATCCAGTGAGCAAGAAGTAGCAAGCACGCTGGACTTACTGGTGAGACATTTGTGTGCCAGGGGATGGGAAATAAATCTAAAATCTAAAATCCCTGACTAAAAATCAGGGACCTTCCACCTCAGTAAAATTTCTAGGAGTCCAGTGCTGTGGGGCCTGTGGAGTATTAGATATTCCTTCTAAGGTGAGGGATAAGTTGCTGCATTTGGCCCCTCCTACAACCAAGAAAGAGGCACAGTGCCTAGTGGGCCTATTTGGATTTTGGAGGCAACACATTCCTCATTTAGGGGTGTTACTCCTGCCCATTTATTGAGTGACCTGAAAGGCTGCCAGTTTTGAGTGGGGTCCAGAAAGGAGAAGGCTCTGCAGTAGGTCCAGGCTGCTATGCAAGCTGCTCTGCCACTTGGGCCATATGACCCAGTGGATCCAATGGTGCTTGAGGTGTCAGTGGCAGATAAGGATGCTGTTTGGAGTCTTTGGCAGGCCTGCATCGGTGAATTACAGTGGAGGCCTCTAGGATTTTGGAGCAAGGCTCTGCCATCTTCTGCAGATAAATACTCTCCTTTTGAGAGACGGCTCTTGGCCTGTTACTGGTCTTTGGTGGAAACTGAACATTTGACTATGGATCGTCAAGTCACCATGCAACCTGAACTGCCTATCATAAACTGGGTGCTTTCTGACCCATCTAGCCATAAAGTGGGTTATGCACAGCAGCATTCCATCATCAAATGGAAGTGGTATATATGGGATCAGGCTCAAGCAGGTCCTGAAGGTGCAAGTAAGTTACATGAGGAAGTGGTTCAAATGCCCATGGTCTCCACTCCTGCCACCCTGCCTTCTCTCCCCAAGCCTTCACTGATGGCCTCATAGAGAGTTACCTATGATCAGAGGAAGAGAAGACTAGGGCCTGGTTTCTAGATGATTCTTCATGATATGCAGGAACTACCCGAAAGTGGACAGCTGCAGCACTACAGCCTCTTTCTAGGACATCCCTGAAGGACAGTGGCAAAGGGAAATCTTCCAAGTGGGCAGAACTTCAAGCAGAGCACCTGGTTGTGCACTTTGCTTGGAAGGAGAAATGATCATGAGCTGTAGCCAATGGTTTGGCTGGATGGTCAGGGACTTGGAAGAAGCATGATTGGAAAATTGGTGACAAAGAAATTTGGGGAAGAGGTATGTAGGTGGACCTCTCTTGAGTGGTCAAAAACTGTGAAGATATTTGTATCCCATGTGAGTGCTCATCAGAGTGTGAGGAGGATTTTAATAATCAAGTGGATAGGATGACTTGTTCTGTGGATACCACTCAGTCTCTTTCCCCACCCTCCCCTGTCATCACCCAATGGGCTCATGAACAAAGTGGCTATGGTGGCAGAGACGGAGGTTTTGCATGCGTTCAGCAACATGGACTTCCACTCACCAAGGCTGCCCTTTCTATGGTCACTGCTGAGTGCCCAATTTGCCAGCAGCAAAGACCAATGCTGGGCCCTTGATATAGCATCATTCCTTGGGGTGATCAGCCACCTACTTGGTGGCAGGTTTATTATATTGGACCTTTCCATCATGGAAATATGATTGTCCTCACTGGAATAGCCACTTACTCTGAATATGGTTTTGCCTATCCTGCCTGCAATGCTTCTGCCTAGAAGAATTGCATAGTAGACTGCATATGGAATTGCAGTCCATAGAAACATCTATGGACTCATGGAATGCCTTATCCACTGTCTTGGTATTCCACACAGCACTGCCTCTGATCAAGGCACTTTGTGACTAAAGAAGTGCAGCAGTGGGCTCATGCTAATGGAATTTGGTGGTCTTACCATGTTCACCATCATCCTGAAGCAACTGGATTAATAGAACAGTGGAGTAGCCTTTTGAAGTCACAATTACAATGGCAACTAGGTGACAGTACTTTGCAGGGCTGGGTCAAAGTTCTCCGGAAGGTTGTATATGCCCTGAATTAGCTTCCAAAATGTGGTACTATTTCTCCCATAGCCAGGATTCATGGGTCCAGGAATCAAGGGGTGGAAGTGGAAGTGGTACCACTCACCATCACCCCTAGTGACCCACTAGCAAAATTTTTGCTTCCTGTTGCAGTTACATTACGTTCTGCTGGCCTAGAGGTCTTAGTTCCAGAGGGAGGAATGCTGCCACCAGGAGACACACAATGGTTCCATTAAAGTGGAAGTTAAGACTGCCACTTGGCCACTTTGGGCTCCTCCTACTTCTAAGTCAACAGGCTAAGAAAGGAGTTACAGTGCTGGCTAAGATGATTTACCCAAACTATCAAGATGAAATCAGTCTGCTACTCCACAATGGAGGTAAGGAAGAGTATGCATGGAATACAGGACATTCCTTAGGGCGTCTCTTAGTATTACCATGCCCTATGATTAGGGTCAATCAGAAACTACAACAACCCAATCCAGGCAGGACTACGAATGGCCCAGACCCTTCAGGAATGAAAGTTTGAGTCACTACACCAGGTAAAAACCATGACCCCCTGAGGTGCTTGCTGAAGGCAAAGGTAATAGAGAAGGGGTAGTAGAAGAAGGTAGTCATCAATACCAGCTATGCCCACATGACCAGTTGCAGTAATGAGAAGCCAAATGTTAATCACCAAGATGGTGGAGAAAATGTCTCCAGGACATGTCAGAGGTCCTAATGGCCGCTCCTCCCATCACAGATCTGAAGGCTTAGGAGGGAAAAAATGGTTTTGTGGGCCAGGTCTGGGGCTTTGCTGCTTTGTGCAGTCTCCAGACTTGGTGCCCTGTGTCCTAGCCATGGACAAAAGGGGCCAATGTACAGCTCAGGCCATTGGTTTAGAGGGTGCAATCCCCAAGCCTTGGTGGCTTCCACATGGTGTTAGGCCTGCGGGTGCACAGAAGTCAAGAATTGAGGTTTGGGAATCTACACCTAGATTTCAGAGGATGTATGGAAATGCCTGGATATCCAGGTAGGAGTTTGCTGCAAGGATGGAGCCCTCATGGAGAACCTCTGCTAGGGCAGTGCAGAAGGGAAATCTGGGGTTGAAGACCCCACACCGAGTCCCCACCGGGGCATTGCCTAGTGGAGCTGTGAGAAGAGGGCCACTGTCCTCCAGACCCCAGAATGGTAGATCCACCGACGGCTTGCACCATGCACCTGGAAAAGCTGCAGACACTCAGTGCTAGCCTGTGAAAGCAGCTGGAAGGGGCGCTGCACCCTGCAAAGCCACAGTGGTGGAGCTTCCCAAGGCCATGAGAGCCCACCTCTTGCATCAGCTTGACTTGGATGTGAGACATGGAGTCATAGGAGATCATTTTGGAACTTTAAGGTTTAATGACTGCTGTTATTGGTTTGTGGACTTGCATGGGGCCTGTAGCCCCTTTGTTTTGGCCAATTTCTCCCATTTGGAATGGGTGTATTTACCCAGTGCCTGTACCCCCATTGTATCTAGGAAGTAACTAGCTTGTTTTTGATTTTACAGGCTCATTGGCAAAAGGGACTTGCCTTGTCTCAAATGAGACTTTGGACTTGGACTTTTGGGTGTATGCTGGAATGAGTTAAGACTTTTGGGGACTGTTGGGAAGGCATGATTATGTTTTGAAATGTGAGGACATGAGATTTGGGAGGGGGCAGGAGTAGGATGGTATGGTTTGGCTGTGTCCCCACCCAAATCTCATCTTGAATTTTAATCTCCATAATCCCCACGTGTCATGAGAGGGACCTGGTGGGATATAATTGAATCATGGGGGTGGTTTCCCCCATGCTGTTCTCATGATAGTGAGTAAGTTCTCACAAGATCTGATAGTTTTATAAGTGTCTGGCATTTCCCCTGCTGGCACTCATTCTCTCTTCTGCCACCCTGTGAAGAGGTGCCTTCTACCATGATTGTAAGCTTCCTGAGGCCTCCCCAGCCATGGGGAACTGTGAGTCAGTTAAACCTCTTTTCTTTCTAAATTACCCAGTCAAAATTATTTCTTCATAGTGATAGTGACAGGAGGCAGACAAATGCCTAAGCAGATAGGGGTGGGTCCCTGGTGAAACCCAACCTTCAAGCTGAAGACAGTCCCAGGTAAATTCTCAGACCAGATCAAAAACCTGTCTTCCCATTTGGTGCACTTTCCTCTGATGGATCCCACCCTTCACCTATTTTACGTATACCTACCCTTCCCTAATTGTTTTTTTTACACTGTCATGCCCATCTTTGAGTGGTACATTTTAGAGTAACCCTGCTTATTCCTGCGAACCAACCAGCAATCTCCAGCTGCAGTTCAGAAGAAACAAAAGGGCTGGGTAATGTAAAAATCTGGATCAATATTCTAGTTCTGGGCAATTATTCTGCAAATCCTGCCAGGTGATAGGAGTAAATTTATTAGATATAAAATCAATATTTCCAAATTGATTAGATTTCTAAAATAGCAGTAGACAGAAAATATAATTTGAAAATATCATTTACAGTAGCAACAAGCTACAACAAATATATCATACAAAGATTAGTAAAACCTCTAAGAGAAAATAAACTTTATTTAGAGCTGTTAAAGAATACCTAAGCCGGCCTGACGCAGTGGCTCATGCCTGTAATCCCAGGACTTTAGGAGGCTGAGGCGGGCAGATCATTTGAGGTCAGGAGTTCGAGACTAGCCTGGCCAACATGGTGAAACCCTCTCTGTACTAAAAATACAAAAATTATCTGGGTGTGGTTGTGCAGGTCTGTAATCCTAGCTACTCAGGAAGCTGAGGCAGGAGAATTGCTTGAACCCAGGAGACAGATGTTGCAGTGAGTTGAGATTGTGCCACTGCACTCCAGCCTGGGTGACAGAGTGAGACTCTTGTCTCAAAAAAAAAAAAAAAAAAAAAAAAAAAGAATACCTAAACTTGGCGCGGTGGCTCACACCTGTAATCCCAGCAGTTTGGGAGGCTGAGGCAGGAGGATTTCTTGAGCCCAGGAGTTCAAGACCAGCTGTGGCAACATAGTGAGACCCTGCTTCTACAAAAAATAAACAAAATCAGCCAAGCATGAAGGCATGTGCCTGTGGTCCCAGCTAGTTGGGAAGCTGAGGTGGAAGGATCATTTGAGCCTGGGAGGTTGAGGCTGCAGTGAGCTGAGCTCATACCACTGTACTCCAGCCTGGGCAACAGAGCAAGACCTTGTCTTAAAAAAAAAGAAAAGTAAGTAAATGAGAAGATATACCATATTCATTGTTAGCTAAAAGTGTAAAGATGTCAGTTCCCCTTAAATTAATCTATAGAACCAATGCTATTACAGGTACAATCCCAAAGAGAATTTGACAAGATGATTCTAAATTTTATGTGGAGGCACAAAGGATTGATAATAGTTAAGGCACTCCTAAAAAAGAACAAGTTGGGAATACCGGATATCCAGACTTATCTTAGACCCTCTAAGAGTAAATATAAGCTTGCCATCCATGTATTCAGATCCTCCAGAATCACACTCCACTTTATCTGTCCTATCTCATCTGCCTGTGCTCCTCAGCATGAAACGTTTGTTCCAGTCTGCTTGATCTCACGGTCTGCTGAATTTGAGCTGTGGCCACCTCCCTTTGCCTTTGCTCTTTCTGTTTTCCTTGCCTTTAATTTACTAACTCCTCCTTTCTATCAACCCCTGGCCTGGCCCTACTCAAATATTACCTCCAATATATTTATATATTTTTGGTTCTCCAGTTTACATAAGTCTCTTTCCTCCAAACTCTTATACCACTTTTTGGTTCTGCTATTTATTCTTCTATTTTTTTCATATATAGCATAGAAAGAGAGGAGAAAAGGGAGAAGGGAACACAGAGCTGGGCATTCAGAATTAGCCATATGTATGCCTGATACAGCTGATTAGGAGCTCTACAGTTTCCCTGAACATGGATCCAAGATCTGACAGAAAGCTTGCCAAGAGCCATTGAACACTCACCGGCTGACTTATATGGGAAGCGTCTTACAGCCTGATAAGATCTTACAGAATCGGTGGCAACCTGAAGTTGTTTTCAGGACATAAGAGCTATTTTTACCTCTCTTCATCTGGTTAACAGTTTGTCCATGAAAACAAAAAGACTAAAAACCCAGACACAACCTGAATGTCCACCAATAGGGGTTCTGGCTACATTACAGAACAACCACAGGCAGCTAGTTAAAAAAAAAGGGAGACAACTCCATGTGACTGACAGGGAATTATCACCAAGAGATAGATAAGAGAAAAAAAAATCAAGGTGCAAAACAACATCACCATGTGTGGCTTTTCTTGTTTGTTTGTTTGTTTAATACTCATGGTTTTGAACCTGCAGAGAGACTTTGGTAATTGTGGGTGCCTAAGAAGAGGGACTGAGGGTTGGAAGTTAAGAGTAGGAGACTGGCTTTCCACTGAATATCCTTTTACAACTTTTGTATTTTGTACCCTGTGTAACTATTGACTACTCAACAAATAAATGTTCAAGAGGAAATAAAAGGAAACAAAGATATTGAAAACAAACCAGCAAATTAGATGGTGTCAAAGGACAGAATTCTGACTTTTGTACTGTATCTTAGAAGACCAAAAGCAATGCCTAGCCAGGACAGCACGGTCCTCATTAAAACTAAGATGACCTTCTATCCTGACTTTCAGCTAAAGTGTGAAGTGGAGGAAGCACAGAGCTAAGCTATAGCTGCAAAATTCAGTACCTTTAAAAAGATACTTGCATCAGAATTATAACTGGGAGAGAATGGGTTGCTTAGCACTGGTTATTCCAGAAAGAGAACCAAATTACAAACCATGCCTGTAATCCCAGCACTTTCGGAGGCTGAGGCAGATGTATCACAACGTCAGGAGTTCGACACCAGCCTGGCCAATATGGCGAAACCCCATCTCTACTAAAAATACAAAAAAAATTAGCTGGGCATGGTGGCACATGCCTGTAATCCCAGCTACTCAGGAGGCCGAGGCAGGAGAATTGAACCCAGGAGGTGGAGGTTGCAGTGAGCCGAGATGGGGCCACTGCACTACAGCCTGGGCGACAGAGAGAGACCCTATCTCAAAAAAAAAAAAAAAGAAAAAGCCAAAAAATAACCCTTTGTAGTTGCAAACCACAAGCTAGTTATTTTTTTTGTTTGTTTGTTTTTTTTGTTGTTGTTGTTGTTTGTTTTTTGTTAATGGCACAATGAAGTCAGGGACTCAGGTTCTTTTTTTTTTTTTTTTTTGAGACAGAGTTTCACTCGTCGCCAGGCTAGAGTGCAGAGGCGCGATCTCAGCTCACCGCAACCTCCACCACCTGGGTTCAAGTGATTCTCCTGCCTCAGCCTCCCGAGTAGCTCGGATTACAGGTGTGCGCCACTACACCCAGCTAATTTTTTAATATTTTTGGTAGAGACGGGGTTTCACCATGTTGGCCAGGCTGGTCTTGAACTCCTGACTTCAAGTGATCTGCCCACCTTGGCCTCCCAAAGTGCTGGGATTACAGGTGTGAGCCACCGCGCCCAGCCCACATGCTAGTTTTTAACCCACTTCCTGCTGGAAGGAGAGAAGAGGTCTGTGACTTCTGCTCAGCTCCACCATGGAGACCAAATCAAGCAGGCTTTGGAACTGCTGCTTCAGGTGAATGGTAACCAGAAACCCAGGGAATTTATAGAAAGGGCAAGGTCAAAGAGCTGAGAAAAAGACTTAAGTCATGGTCAACACCTGCCAATGCAATGGTGTAGGCATGAAAGGGCTTGAAGGCTGAGAAATGCCACTAAACTAAGTGACAATCCCCAGCATCTCCCTTGAAAAGGTATTAATGGGCTTCAAAATAGAAAAACTGTTAGTTTGCTGTGAGGCTTCTTGTTTATTTATTTATTTATTTATCTATCTATTTATTTATTTATTTATTTTTGAGACAGAGTCTCGCTGTGTTGCCCCAGATGGAGTGCAGTGACGTGATCTTGGCTCATTGTAACCTCTGCCTCTGCAGGCGATTCTCCTGCCTCAGCCTCCCGAATAGCTGGGATTATAGGCGTGTGCCACCACACCCAGCTAATTTTTGTATTTTTAGTAGAGATGGGGTTTTGCCATGTTAGCCAGACTGGTCTCAAACTCCTGACCTCAAGTGATCCACCCCTCTCAGCCTCCCAAAGTGCTGAGATTACCGGCGTGAGCCACCGCGCCTGGCTGAAGCTTCTTTACAACTATAAGTAATTAAGTATGGCAGGATGGATGGATAATTTTTGGGATTCAAATGTCAGATTCATAATCATATTGTTCAGCAAGGAAAGGAAAGCAGGTCCACTGATGTGTTCGTGCAAGAATAGCTATTAACAGGGGTCCATGGAACAAGGTCTAGAGGATCTTGGCACTTAAATCAAGATAAGGTTTTTTTATATTAAAAATATTTAATAAAGACATTATCACAACCTCTACAGTCCCAATGAATTCTCAGAATTGGTGAATTTTACAGGGCTAAAGAAGAGAAAAAGAAACCAGAATATCCCTTAGAAAAAGTGAACACGTGGCAGAATTAAGGTCTGGAGTAGCAAAACAAATGGTATAGGTGGGCCTCTGCCACTTATCCAGATCTCTGGCCAGTGAGTTTCAGTGCATGGGGGCCAGTTGATCTCCAACCCCAATCGGAGTTCTGGTGAGCCAGCTGGGCTCAGATGAGAGACTTCACAGCCTGATTTGCTTTCAGCGTGAGAGAGTATGTCATAAGCAGTATCACTGTGAATATTTGGCCACTTATTTTTTGGCATTTTTCACACCCCAATTTATTGACCACATTTGAAGCTTGGGGAGATGAGAGATGGCCCCATATTTTCTTTTGCTTTGGCAAAGAAGACCATCTAATGGGAGCCTGCAGTCTTGAGGATTTTTGCCTAGTGAACATATCCCTTCTTGCCTGTGACTGTGCAATTTCTAGAGAATTTCCCCATTCTTCAACCTTAAGGATTTCAGGCACAAGGTATGAATCACTAAGAATCTAGCAGCAGCTCTAGAAGCCTCCAAAGATAATTGCACTTCCCCAACAGGGGGACGGGGGTGGAGTGTAAATATGAAAGAACAGTGGATGGCCTAAATCAGTATGTGTCACTCTTTGTAAAGAGCCACAAGTGTTTGACTAGGGAAAAAGGAAAAGAGGCGAGAGTAACGAGAAAGAGACACCAAGATCGAGAGGAATGGGGGAAAGGAGATCTCTATGAGGTGTTACTGTGAGTCATGGATAGGTTTTTATTAATAGACTCTGAAGTATATAAATAGAATTGGAATTCCTTTTATTTTATTTTTTTTGATATGGAGTCTCTGCTGCCCAGGCTGCAGTGCAGTGGCACAATCTCGGCTCACTGCAACCTCTGCCTCCCGGGTCAAGTGATTCTCCTACCTCAGGATTACAGGCGTGGGCCACCAAGCCCGTCTATTTTTTTTATTTTTAGTAGAGCCGGGGTTTCACCATGTTGGCCAGGCCGGCCTTGAACTCCTGACCTCAGGTGATTCACCTGCCTCGGCCTCCCAAAGTGCTGGGATTACAGGCGTGAGCCACTGTGCCCAGCCTGGAAATCTTTTTAAATACTTCTTGTTGGTGACCACTGTTTATTTGACTGTGACATCATGCAGATACATGGGACCATGGAGCTCAGGCCTCCCTTTGGGTCACACTAGGCTCCTGAAAGGTGACAGTGTAACAGTAGTGCAGTAAATGGGCAAGTGGGTTCATTGTTCTTGGAGAATGAGAGACTGGATTGAAATAAAGAATACGAGTGGGCTGGGTGTGATGGCTCACGCCTGTAATCCCAACACTTTGGGAGGCCAAAGCAGGAGGATCACTTGAGGTCAGGAGTTCAACACCAGCCTGGCCAACATGCTGAAACCCCATCTCTACTAAAAATACAAAAATTAGCCAGACCTGGTGGTGCATGCCTGTAGTCCCAGCTACTCAGGAGGCTGAGGCAGGAGAATCACTTGAACCCAGGAGGTGGAGGTTGCAGTGAGCCGAGATTGCACCACTGCACTCCAGCCTGAGCAACAGAATGAGACTCCGTCTCAAAAAAAAAAAAAAAAAAAGAATAGAAGTGGTTGTGTGGTTTAAAAAAGCAAAGTCCAGGAGTATGGAAGTAGACATGGCTTTATGCATAGGCCGGAGAGAATGTCACCAAGGTACTCTTTAAAGGCATAGCTCCATGTTGGATAACAAAGCATTTGATTCATTCACTCATACATTCATTTATTCAGCAAACCTACTTACTTGACAGGTATTGTATTAGGTGCTGAAGATTAATTCTAAACAAGGCACACACCCTGACTGTATGAATCTTAAAGACTAGGACTGAGCACAGCAACTACGGCTTATGGGCCAAATCTAGCCTGTGTTTGTAAGTAGTTTTATTGAAACACAGCCATACACATTCATCTACATATTGTCTTTTTCTTTTTCTTTCTTCTTCTTCTTTTTTTCTTTTTTTTTTTTTTTGAGACAAGGTCTCACTCTTTCCCAGGCTGGAGTTCAGTAACACTCAAGCCATCCTCCCACCTCTGCCTCCCACGTAGCTGAACTATAGGGGCACGCCACCACACCCTGCTAATTTTTTTATTTATTATAGAGATGGGGTCTTGCTATGTTGCCCAGATTGGTCTCAAATTCCTATCCTCAAGTGATCCTCCCACCTCAGCCTCCCAAAGTGCTGGGATTACAGGTGCGAGCCACTGCACCCCACCTTAACCTTTATTTCTAAATGTTAAATACAAAGATAAATGATGAGGCCAGGCATGGTGGCTTATGCCTGTAATCTCAGCAGTTTGGGAGGCTGAGGAAGGTGATGACTTGAGGCCAGGAGTTCAAGACCAGCCTGGCCAACATGGTGAAACCCCATCTCTACTAAAAATATAAAAATTAGCCAGGTGGTGGCAGGTGCCTGTAATCTCAGCTACTCGGGAGGCTGAGGCACAAAAATCGCTTGAGCCCGGGAGGCAGAGATTGTAGTGAGCCGAGATCACTCCACTGCACTCCAGCATGGGCAACAGAGTGAGACCCTGTCTCAAAAAATAAATAAATAAATAAATATCTTACTTTTCTGAAATCCAAACTTATTCATTACAAGTAGGCACAAGCATCTGCCTGCTTATTATGTCTTCTAGTTTAGCTGGACCTTAGCCTTTATGTATTAAAATACAATTGATTTCATTATAAATTATTATTCTTTATTTCTCTATCTTTACTTTATTTATTTTTTTGAGACTGAGTCATGCTCTGTTGCCCAGGCTGGAGTGCAATGGCGCAATCTTGGCTCACTGCAACCTCCACCTCTTGGGTTCAAGCGATTCTCCTGCCTCACCCTCCTGAGTAGCTGGAATTACTGGTGAGTGCCACCACGCCCGGCTAATTTTTGAATTTTTAGTAGAGACGGGGTTTCACCATGTTGACCAGGCTGGTCTCGAACTCCTGACCTCAGGTGATCCGCCCACCTCGGCCTCCCAAAGTGCTGGGATTACAGGTGTAAGTCACCATGCCCGGCCTTATTTCTCTTTTATATCACAGGTAAATAAGAATTTTAAGAAATCGTGTGATTATAAAGGCTATATCACTTGTGAATTGCATTTCAGCAAATTAGAAATACTTTTTTAAAAAGCTAATGGTGGGTTTTATAGGATTAGAACCCTTGTCTTGGAACATTAAATGAACTTTTTTTTTCTTAATTTATTTTTGAGATGGAGTCTCACTCTGTCACCCAGACTGGAGTACAGTGGCGCAATCTCGGCTCACTGCAACCTCCACCTCCTGGGTTCAAGCGATTCTCCTGCCTCAGCCTCCCAAATAGCTGGGATTATAGGTGTCCACTACCATGCCTGGCTGATTTTTGTATTTTTAGTAGAGACAGGGTTTCAGCATGTTGACCAGGCTGGTGTTGAACTCCTGACCTCAGGTTATCCGCCTACCTCGGCCTCCCAAAGTGCTGGGATTACAGGTGTGAGCCACTGTGCCCAGCCACATGAACTTTTAAATATAGCTGTAGACCTATAGTCTGTACATACAAACCCCTATGTGTCCATATATACTGCACAAACAAAGCAAATCTCTTTTTATAATAGAGTTTGTTATTATAAACCGTCACATATAACATATGTCATAACTACCTCCCATGGACATAACAACTTCCTGTGGAAAGAGTGAACCTCACTTGTCTTTAAATATCCTTCCTGGCCAGGCTCATTTTCTTGGAACAGGACCAAACTAAAACAGTTTTGGCATATATTATTACCTCTCTAGCGTGAAAAGAGCCATGGTTCTTGTCCTTAAGAGTTCACTGTCTATATAAATCTGAATTTGGATATGCAGTATACATGATACTGTACTGCAAGTTTCAGTAGCTGCAAGTACGCTCACATCCTCGTCTAACTTTCATCCTCTCTTCCCTTGGAGTAATATCCAACAAGACTGCAGGACTGTTGTAGAAGATGTGTATCTCACCATTTTAATCACTGCAGAGGCCACAGTGGGGAGGGCAGCTTTGCAGATTTCAAGAATCTGAGGCCTTTCTTCCCTTGCTTTTTCTCTGCCTACTCCCCCTCTTCATCTTTGTTTTCCTCCGTGTTCCTCTCTTCTCCCTCCCACTCTCTTGCATTTGCTGAGCCTCCACAGTTTGAGTCACAGGCTGCATCCCGTCTTGAAGGCGTGATCATTAGTCAGGGATGCAGGATCAGCCTTCCCTGGGCTTTCTGTGGGCATCTGGGAGGCTGCAGGGAGACCAGGGCTGCTGGCACAGCCGATGCACCTCCAGAATTTTTGCTGAGACCAAGGGCAATGACAGCCCTAGAGACAGAAGGGATACAGGAGAATCAGTACTGGACATTGACGGAGGCTGTGCAGGGGAGGTGGAGAAGGTGGAGAGGGAGTGTTGCCGTCTGGGGACTCAACAGGGGCACAGATGGAGTGGCAGATAGGGCTCAATGTGCCTGCCTGGTCTCTGAGGAGAAACCTCTGACTGAATGGGACCCAGAGTGCAGCTATTAAGCTGGTCATCTCCCTGGGGTGTCACTAGGGATAGGCATGACACAGAGTGAGTCCCCCCACCTGCAGCTGCACCTGGGACCAGGCTTTAACCTCCCTTCTCTCTCCTCTACCTTGGTTCTCATCCCTCCTCCCACTCCCTCTAGGCAAACAGTATTCTGATGCTTCCTAGCATTTGCTATGAGGTAATGCTCTGGAATCCCTAGTTATTCAAATTATATAAACCAGGGGACTCAGAGAAAGAGAGGGTGCTCTCAGAATCCAGTCCTGCAGCCAAGGAGGAAGTCCTTCCTTCCTTCATTTTACCAGGCTGTTTCAAACCAAGGCACTGGGTTTTTTTGAAACTTATGGTAAGTCTCCTTTCTTATCTTTTCAACTTAGAGTCCGTGTGAGAACCGGGACACCTGTCCTGTTGAAAAGGGGGACGCAAAAGCTGAAAATGCCCGGAAGGATATGGCTTCCTTGAACTGCGGGACGTGTAGCTGCAGCTGTGGGGTGGACCATGGAAACAGGTTTGAAGAGAGAAGCTCTGTTCTTCTTCATCTCCCGTCATTGTTCTGAGCCAGTGTTCTGCCTCCTCCCTAGGGATGAAGTTTGGTAGCAAGGGTCAGAAAAATTAAAGTTCAAGGTTGGCACAGATTCCCAGGGAATGAAGGTGGAAACCACTGTCTACCCTTCTCCAAACTCAAAAACGTGAAATAATGGATTCTTTTTGTGTGTGAGATGGAGTCTTGCTCTGACGTCACCCAGGCTGGAGTGCAGTGGCACGATTTTGGCTCACTATAACCTCCTCCTCCCAGGTTCAAACCATCCTGCCACCTCAGCCTCCTGTGTAGCTGGAACTACAGGCGCCCACCACCATGCCCAGCTAATTTTTGTCGTTTTAGTAGAGATGGTGTTTCACCATGTTGGCCAGGCTGGTCTCAAACTCCTGACCTCAAGTGATCTGCCCGCCTCGGCCTCCCAAAGTGTTGGGATTGCAGGCGTGAGCCACTGGGCCCAGCCAAGAGGGACTCAGTTTTCACCTTGGCATCTCTAGAAAGGGAAAACTTGGGGAAAACCCACACCTCTACCCTTGAGTGAAGATGCCAAGTAATTATATTATAGTTGATCTTGAGTGTCCTTTTTTTTTCTGTGCCTCTCTCTCATCCCTTCCTGTTGTTCTTCTCTTCTTCCAATTTATTTCTGTCTGGGGGATTATGTGCTCTATCCAGAAACGCCCCACCCAGGCCTCTGGGGCAGGAGTTCATGCTGTAAGATTACTTTCCTTTCTCCTTCTTCTGCACTTCATCACAACTCTGGTTCCCTGGAGGGTGCAGTTTATCTTAGCTAGTAGTTAGGAGAAAAGCATCTAGTTAAGCTAATTCAAATTAAAACCATGAAAATGCTCTTCTTAAAGAGCTTGGCTATTTCCCCTTACTCCTGAAAACAGCCACACAGGATACCCAAGTGGGCTGACATGACGGAATCATCTTTAAACCAAGATGCTCCTCTCTCCCTTGCCTGTAGTCTATGAGCTCTGTAGGCTGCTTTAAAGAAGGCAGGGCTTGCTTTCTTCCTCTCATGCCTCTGAGAAATTTTCCAGAAATTTAAGATGAAAGATGGAAAATGTCCTCAATATTGGTTCTCTAAAATGCACTTGCCTTTTTTTTTTTTTTTTTTTTAGACAGAGTCTCACTCTGTCGCCCAGGCTGGAGTGCCATGGTACGATCTCGGCTCACTGCAACCTCTGCCTCCTGGGTTCAAGTGATTCTCCTGCCTCAGCCTCCTGAGTAGCTGGGATTACAGGTGCGTGCCACCACACCCAGCTAATGTATTTGTATTTTTAGTAGAGACAGGGTTTCATCATGTTGGCTAGGCTGGTCTCGAACTCCTGACCTCAGGTGATCCACCCACCTCGACCTCCCAAAGTGCTGGGATTACAGGTGTGAGGCACCGTGCCCAATCCGTACTTGACATTTTTAACTCCTAGGGTCCTTGGGCAGATATCCACATCCTGTCTTGGGAGGCAGTCCTGGTCCTTAGCTCTCCACCCCAACCCCCTCATATCCCTGGAAATTGAGAGCTGCCAGGAGCAAAGCAGATTGTTGCTGACCTCAGAAGAACACAAGTTGGCCATTTGTGAGGAGGAGGGATTCAATAACCTCCTGGAACAGAAATAATGAAGATGAGGCCAGTCTTTCACGTGTGGCATGTTTTCTTGGTGTGCTTTGCTCCTTTGGAAGAGACTTAGGGGACAGGAGCATGAGAATGGGGCCCCCAAATATACCTGTTCCTTCTGAGGCAGATGAGAGGCAGCCCAAATGAAAGCCCTCTTCCTGACTGGTGCTGAGACAGCTGTCTCTACATCATTTCTCAAAAAGCAGCAAAGGACTACATGGAGGTGAAATTCTTCCCCATCTCAATTTGCCTGCTTAGCCAAATGTGGAATGTTGTAGAATGCATATCTTGAATATTAGTCAGGATTTTGTCAGCTTCCAAGGCAAGAAGGAAGGGATTCGTTGACTCCAGTACCGGGAAGTTTAAAACATGACTCTTCCGATGTGACTGGGTTTAGGGATTTAAATAATATCATTAAAGCCCGGTGTGGTGGCTCACGCCTGTAATCCCAGCACTTTGGGAGGCCAAGGTGGGCAGATCATTTGAGGTCAGGAGTTTGAGAGCGGCCTGGCCAACATGGTGAAACCCCGTCTCTACTGAAAATACAAAAATTAGCTGGGTGTGGTGGCAAGCACCTGTAATCTCAGCTATTGGGGAGGCTGAGGAAGGAGAATCGCCTGAACCCAGGAGGTGGAGGTTGCAGTGAGTTGAGATCATGCCACTGCATTCCAGCCTGAGTGACAGAGTAAGACTCTGTTTCAAAAAATAAATATTAATAAATAAATAAAGTCATTAGTTCCATCTCTCTCCCTCGGTTGACTTGTTTGTCTTAACATTGGCTTTTTTCTCAGGTAGGAACTCTCTGCTGAGTGGCAGATGGCCTTGGGCAGCGATGAGTATTACATTGTTTTCCCTGCGTGTCTTTCCCGTCAGCTCCATCAGAAGTACCAGGGAGGACTCTGACAGGCCTGGCCTGGGTAAGGTGTCCTTGCCTGAACCAATCATTGCAGCCAGGAGGATGAAGTCCTCTAATTGGCTAGCTCACATTATGACCCCAACATGTGTGGGGAAGACCAGGCAAGGAATTAGCCACCTTGTTAGGTAGAGGAGGAGAAATTCTCAAAAGGAAAATATACTAGGCAGATAAAAAGTAATATAACTATACACTTTTATAAGTGTCAACTTACTCATTACTAATGCAAATTAACCAGCAATAGGGTGGGAGATATGAGCAATACCAAGATTTATAAGACATGTTTTTTGTCCTTAAAGATCATATAATCTATTTGTTCCAGAAGCTAGTCACATTCTCTAATAATTTGAGGAAACATGAATGAATTCATTGGAAAATATTTGCTAAGTGCTTACTTAATGCCAGACATAGCTCTAGATTCCTGTTATACAAAGATAAAAGACAGCTTTCTTCCCATAAAAACCTTACAATCAAGTGAGAGAGACAAGCAAACTAACAAACATTTAAAGTGCAGGACTTGGCTGGGCGCAGTGGCTCACACCTGTAATCCCGGCACCTTGGGAGGCTGAGGCAGGAGGATCACTTGAGCCCAGGAGTTTAAGACCAACCTGGGAAACATAGGGAGTCCCTGTTTCTGCAAAATTTAAAAATTAGGGCCGGGCGCGGTGGCTCACGCCTGTAATCCCAGCACTTTGGGAGGCCGAGGCGGGTGGATCATGAGGTCAGGAGATCGAGACCATCCTGGCTAACAAGGTGAAACCCCGTCTCTACTAAAAATACAAAAAAATTAGCCGGGCGCGGTGGCGGGCGCCTGTAGTCCCAGCTACTCGGGAGGCTGAGGCAGGAGAATGGCGTGAACCCAGGAAGCGGAGCTTGCAGTGAGCCGAGATTGCGCCACTGCAGTCCGCAGTCTGGCCTGGGCGACAGAGCGAGACTCCGTCTCAAAAAAAAAAAAAAAAAAAAAATTAGCCTGGCATGGTGGTGTGCACCTGTAGTCCCAGCTACTCAGGAGGCTGAGGCAGAAAGATCCCTTGAGCCCAGGAGGTTGAGGCTGCAGTGAGCTGTGACTGCGCCACTGCACTCAGCCTGGGCGGCAGAGCAAGACCCTGTCTCAAAAATCAATTAATCAATCAATCAATCAATACAAATAAAGTTTAAGGCCACAGTTGCAATGACAGAAGTATGCACAGTTATCATGAGAGCCCCCAAAAGGCACCAACTCAACCTTGGGCTCAGAGGAAGCGATTTGTAAGCCAGAGCTTGAAAAACAAGTGGGAGTCAGATGAGATTGGATGGTGGGGAAGGATCTTGCAGGCAGAGGGGCTAGTTTGTGCAGAGGTACAGGGTGTGGAGTAGGGTGGTGTATTTGGAGAACCGTAAATACTGACATGCATCACTTAACAACAGGGTTATGTTGTGAGAAATGCATTGTTAGGCAATTTTACCCTTGTGCGAACATCATAGAGTACTTACACACATCTAAATGGCATAGCCTGCTATGTACCTTGACTATATGGTAGAGCCTATTGCTCCTAGGCTATGCGCCCGTACAGCATGTTCCTGCACTGAATACTGCAGGCAACTGGAATGCAACCGTAAGAGTTTGTGTATCTAAACCTCTAAACATAGGAAAGGCATAGTAAAAATGCAGTATTTTGGGCCGGGTGCGGTGGCTCCCGCCTGTAATCCCAGCACTTTGGGAGGCCGAGGCGGGTGGATCACGAGGCCAAGAGATCGAGACCATCCTGGCTAACACGGTGAAACCCCGTCTCTACTAAAAAATACAAAAAATTAGCCGGGCGTAGTGGCGGGCTCCTGTAGTCCCAGCTACTTGGGAGGCTGAGGTAGGAGAATGGCATGAACCTGGGAGGTGGAGCTTGCAGTGAGCCGAGATCGCACCACAGCACTCCAGCCTGGGCCACAGAGTGAGACTCCATCTCAAAAAAAAAAAAAAAAAAAAAAATGCAGTATTTTAATCTTATGAGACCACTGTTGTATATGAGGTCTGTTGTTTACCAAAAAGTCATTCTGCAGCACATGTCTGTAGTTTGAATGGAGTACATGAGTGGGTACAGGGAGAGATGAACCCAAAGCGGTAGGCAGGAGACAGATCACAAAGGGCCCTGGGTCAAGCATAGATTTCAGCTTGCCCCTGATTTCGAACAGGGGCATGGACGTGTCCAGATTTGCAATAGAGCATGCTCATTCTGGCAGCATGTGAGTGGAGTGAGCCAGACTGGAGGCAGGAAGGAGAGTCAGGGGACTGCCGTGGGAAGGCACTCGAGACGTGGTGGGGACTCCTTCTGTGCAGGCAATGTCAGCTGATAAAATAGATAATTAGAAAAGTCACCGTTCTGCAACCCCAATTCAGGCAAGGATCCAGATTATCAGCAGATGCTAAGATATTCACGTGGTTTTAAAGAGTCACTCCACAGATTTTTTAAAATAATTTTTTATTTTTTTTGGCCAAGTACAGTGGCTTTACCCCTGTAATCCTAGCACTTTGGGAGGCTGAGGTGGGTGGATCATTTGAGGTCAGGAGTTCAAGACCAGCCTGACCAACACGGCAAAACTGGGTCTCTACTAAAAATACAAAAAAATTGGCCAGGTGTGGTGGCGCAAGCCTGTATCTCAGCTACTTAGAAGACTGAGGCAGGAAAATCACTTGAACCTGGGAGGTGGAGGTTGCAGTGAGCCAAGATTGCGCCACTGCACTCCAGCCTGGGCAACAGAATAAGACTCTGTCTCAAAAAGAAAAAAGTTTATTTTTAATTTTTCTGGGTACATAGTAGGTGTATATATTTATGGGGTATGGGAGATGTTTTGACACAGGCATGCAATGCATAATAATCGCATCATGGAAAATGGGTATCTATCCCCTCAAGCATTTATCCTTTCATTTCATGGATTATTATTATTATTTGAGATGGAGTTTTGCTTTTGTTGCCTAGGCTGGAGTGTAATGGCGAGATCTCGGCTCACTGCAACCTCCACCTCCCGGGTTCAAGTGATTCTCCTGTCTCAGCCTCCTGAGTAGCTGGGATTACAGGCATGTGCCACCACGCCCAAGGATTAATGACAAAATACAAAATTTTGTATTTTTAGTACAGATGGGGTTTCACCATGTTGGTCAGGCTGGTCTCGAACTCCTAACCTCAGGTGATCCACTCGCCTCGGCCTCCCAAAGTGCTGGGATTACAGGCATGAGCCACCGCGCCTGGCCATTCCATGGATTATTAACTACACGGTGGAAACTGTACCTTTGCAGTGGAAAGATCTGGTGGCCATCATCTTAAGCAAGAGATCAGGCTCCACATAGTGGGACAACCTGACGTTGTGGACCTTCCAAGGGATGTGATAAGCGATGGGTAACATCTCCTGTACAGTATTCTTTCCAAAGAGCTTCAACCTGAATCTAATAATGAGGAAACAACTAGACAAATCCAGAATGTGGGAGGTTACGTAGGAAAACAGGCTGGAACTGTTCAAAAACTCAGTGTCATAAAAAACAAAAATAAAAACAAAATGGGAGGAGAATGTTCTAAATCAAAAGAAGGAGAACCAACCACCACATAAAATATTTAACCCCTAATGAGATCCTGACACTTAAAGCTGCCTGAAAGATGGCTGGGCACAGTGGCTGACGCCTGTAATCCCAGCACTGTCTCAAAACAAAAAACAAAAAACAATAAAAACCACATGAAGGACACTAGGGAATAGTTGGGGACAGTTGAGTTTGAACTCAATATGGGGTACTGGTTTTCTTAGGTTTGATAATGATATCATGGTTATGTAGGAGAATGACTTTATGCTTAGGTGATGCTGCAGCATTGAGGGGTGAAGTGTAATGATGTCGCCAACCTACGTCCAAATGACTCAGGAAAATATGCGTGTTCTTATGTACCTACATGACATAGGGATGCTTTTACATATATATGATATATGGAAACTATCATATATATGACAGCTAGGGGTGTTCTTACCAATGTGGCAAAATTTTAACAATGTTTCTGTTTGCATGAAGGATCATGGGAATTCTTATATGATTCTTTCAGGGTTTTTGTGTTTTTTTGGTAGTTTAAACACCATGAAAAAGAATGACAATAAGAAGCGGAAGTAGGAGAAGGAGAGGAATTAATGGCAGTTTGACCCAAGACAGTGGCAGTGGTTTGGGGGAGTGTCCTAGGCTGCCGTAACAAAGTACCCCACCCTGGGTACTTATAAACGACAGAAATGTACTTCTCACCGTCCTGGATGTTGGAAGTCTGAGATCAGAGCACCAGCATGGTTAGGTTCTGGTGAGGACTGTCCTCAGGGTTGCAGACTGCTGACTTCTGGTTGTATCCTCACATGGCAGAAAGAGGGCTAGAGAGCTCTCTGGGATCCCTCTCTCTCTCTTTTTTCTTTTTTTCTTTTTTTTTTTTTTTTTTGAGAGAGGGTCTCACTCTCTCGTCCAGGCTGGATGGAGTGCAGTGGAGTGATCCTGGTTTGCTGTAACCTTAACTTCCTGGGCTCAAGCAATCCTCCCACCTCCCGAGTAGCTGGGAATACAGGTGTGCTCCACCTTGCCTGGGTAATTTTAGTATTTTCTGTAGAGATGGAGTCTCACTATGTTGCCCAGGCTGGTCTCTAACTCCTGGACTCAAGCAGTCTGCCCACCTTGGCCTCCCAAAGTGCTGGGATTACAGGCGTCAGCCCCCACACCCGGCCTGCTTTCTCTCTCTTTTCTTTTTTGTTTTTAAGGCTAGTCAAGTGAAGCAGTGGGAGTGGAGAAGGAACAAAGAAGTCTGAAACTAGTTGTTATCAATTAGGTGTAAACACCACTGCTCTTGGCCCAGCCTGGAGTCTCTTTTATAAGGTACTAATCCCATTTATGAGGGCTCCAGTCTCATAACCTAATTACCTCCCAAAGGCCCCACCTCCTAATAGTGTCACATTGGGGGTTAGAATTTTATATATGAGGCCGGGCGTGGTGGCTCATGCCTGTAATCCCAGCACTTTGGGAGGCTGAGGCAGGTGGATCACTTGCAAGACCAGCCTGGCCAACATAGTGTAATCCTGTCTCTACTAAAAATATAAAAATTAGCCGGGCATGGTGTTGGGTGCCTGTGGTCCCAGCTACTTAGGTGGCTGAGGCATGAGAATCACTTGAACCCAGGTGGCAGAGGTGGCTGTGAGCTGAGATCACGCCACTGCACTCCAGCCTGGGCGACAGAGACTCTATCTAAAAAAGAAAAAAAAAAAAAAAAAGGCTGGACGTGGTGGCTCACACTTGTAATCCTAGCACTTTGGGTGGCCGAGGCAGGCGGGTCACTTGAGGTCAGGAGTTCAAGACCAGCTTGGCCAACATGATGAAACCCCGTCTCTACTAAAAATACAAAAATTAGCCAAGCATGGTAGTGCGCTGCTGTAGTCCCAGCCACTCGGGAGGCTGAGGCATGAGAATCGCTTGAACCCAGGAGGTAGAGGTTGCAGTGAGCCAGTGAGCCGAGATCACGCCATTGCACTCCAGCATGGGGGACAAGAGTGAAACTCTGTCTCAAAAAAAAAAAAAAATTTTATATATGAATTTTAGAGAGACACAAACATTAGGTTCGGTTCATTGTAGGGAAGAAGTTGGAATTAAGAGAAATACAGGAATATTGGGAATCTGTCCTGATGTGGAATAATATATGGGGATTCAGCTAGCGTGAAGTTAGGGAAACAAGCCCAGTCAGAGGGGTTCCAGTCCCAGACATAGATTATATGACATACTTTCCTAATGCAAACCGTGACAAAAATCACCATAAATCAACCATAAATCACCAAAAATCACCATAAATACTTACCTTACCACACCAAGCAGAGAGCTGTGAACAGTGCTGAATCCGGAATCAGGATGCTGGAGTTCTGATCCCGGCTCTACCACTGAGCAGCTGTGAGTGAGGTGAGCTCTTCTGGGGCTCTTCCTCTGAAAAATGAGAAGATTGGAGCACACGTTCCCCGAGGCCCTGTTCTATCTTTCACAAGTACACAGTTGTAGTCACCCTTCCTTATTGACGTTACTGAGTCATCTGAGCTAAGTGTTAATGAGATGTTGCCGCGTCTGCCATTTCATTCTCGCTGTCTTGATTTATTTCTCCAACCATCTTGGCCACCCTCTCATGAGAGCCTGTCCTTGACTAAACAAGGTCTTCACTAAACGCTGCGCTTTACGGGGGAGCTGTAATAATTGCCACTTCCTCATGGTGTCTGCCCTAGATTTAGTGACGAGGTTTCTTCCTGGACTCTTGGATGTTGCTTTCTATTAATAACACATCTGACTTTCTCTTTGTTATGAAGCTAACACATACTTATGGTAGAAAATCTATAACATTTGGGAAACTCTGTAAAATAAAACTTTTTTTTTTTTTGAGATGGAATCTCGCTCTGTTGCCCAGGCTGAAGTGCAGTGCTGCAGTCTCAGCTCACTGCAACCTCCGCCTCCCGGGTCCCAGTGATTCTCCTGTCTCAGCCTTCCAAGTAGCTGGGACTACAGGCGCATGCCAACACATCTGGCTAATTTTTTTTGTGTGTGTTGTATTTTCAGTAGAGATGGGGTTTCGCCATGTTGGCCAGGCTGATCTCGAACTCCTGATCTCAGGTGATGTGCCCACCTCGGCCTCCCAAAGTGCTGGGATTACAGGCGTGAGCTATAGTGCCTGGCCTTGTAAAAGAAAATTTAAGTTACTCACAATTCCAATTTGCCAATAGCCACTATTAAATTTTTTTCTGAATGGTGTGTGTGTGTGTGTTGCATAGTTCATCTCTTATCATATACATAATTTTGTATTCTTTTTTTTCATTTAATAATATATGTTGCACACTCTCTTGGGAGGGAATGGAACAGACTCCCATTCTATAATTTCTTTTTCAGAATTTTACAAGCTTGGAATATCATTATGGCATTTTAACAGCCCTCCATGTATATTACATTATATACCCAAGAAATGTAATGCTAAAATGTGTTTCTTTATCATATCTTTTTCCATATAATTAAAATATTCAGTATTTTCATATAAGAAAATTTCCAGGCCAGGCCAGGCATGGTGGCTCACGCCTGTAATCCCAGCACTTCAGGAGGCTAGATGGGCAGATCACTTGAGGACAGGAGTTCAAGACCAGCCTAGCCAACATGGCAAAAACCCATATCTACTAAAAGTACAAAAACTGGCCAGGCGTGGTTGCGAGTGCCTGTAATTCCAGCTACTCAGGTGGCTGAGCCATGAGAATCACTTGAACCCAGGAGGCAGAGGTTGGAGTGAGCCAAGATCGCACCACTGCACTCCAGCTTGGGCAACAGAGCAAGACTCTGTAAAAAGAAAGAGGGGGAGATAAAGAAAGAGAAAGAGAGAGAGAGAAAGAGAGAAAGAGAGAGAGAGAGAGAAAGAAAGAAAGATAAGAAGGAAGGAAGGAAGGAAAGAAAGAAAGAAAAAGAAAGGAAGAAAGAAAGAGAGAAAAGACATTTTCCAGGCCAGGCATGGTGTCTCAGGCCTGTAATCCCAGCACTTTGGGAGGCCAAGGTGGGAGGATCACTTGAGCCCAGGAGTTTGAGACCAGCCTGGGCAACATGTCAAGACCCCGTCTCTACAATGTTAAAAATTAGCTGGGTGTGGTGGTGGTACCTGTGGTCGCAGCTAGTCAGGAGGCTGAGATGAGATGAGAGTAACACTTGTGCCCAGGAGGTTGAGGATCACAGTGAGCTGTGATCGTGTCACTGCACTCTAGCCTGGGTGACAAAGCGAGACTGCAATTAGAAAAAAAAAAAAAACAAGAGAATTTTCCAAATAACTGGGCAACTCTTTTCCCACCTTCTCTTGTTTTGATGTAAGGCTGGCCTGTTACATCATCAATACTATTGGGGAAATACCAGGACACAGAAAAAATGAGGGGAAGAAATATAGTACAATGTCTTAGTTTATGATACTACATTGTTAATGGTGGATCCATAGAAATACATCTGGGTGATAGTGGCATTTGTAGGGTGTGTATGCAGTGAGTGGGTGGTAGGGGAGAGGCAAGTGGGGAGAGTAAAAAAAATGAATTAAATCGGATGGGTGTTGAGTGAGGCATGGTAACTACTTTGGGAATTTTTTCTCTTCCTTTGTTACTAATGCCAAATAGCAAAGGCTAATGTTAATGTAATGGGTATATGTGTGTCTAAGTGGAGGGACAGACAGACAGACATCATGGGGGGAATGCATCCTAGAGTCATTTTAAAATCAAAACCAGCACTAATGAAGAGCATTTTCTAATGTCATTATATTAATTCAAAAACATCCTAACACTTGACAGATGGATATTCTTAAATGTCTCCAAGGAAGAACCTAAACCATTTGCTCATTCTAGAGTCTCATATTTTGATCCGAAAATTTCAAACCACTTAATTCATCCTCATGGCTCTCCCGGGAAGTAAGGAGAAAGAAGAAATTACTCTCCACCACCTCTTTTATATGATATATGTCTATATACACTTACATTTTTATTACACACTTAACTTTACAGGAAAGGAAATCCCATAAACTAGGTGCATCTCTCTGAAATCACTTTTAACCCTCATTAGCTTGGAGACATTCAATTGAAACCATTGCCTACATACTCTCTGTCTCTCTGCATTCTTTCCAAATATACACATTTCAGTGACCATCGCACTTATTATTATTATTTTTTTTTTTTTTTTTGAGACAGAGTCTTGCTCTGTAACCCAGGCTGGAGTGCAGGGGCGCAATCTCGGCTCACTGCAAGCTCCGCCTCCCGGGTTCACGCCATTCTCCTGCCTCAGCTTCCTGAGTAGCTGGGACTACAGGCACCTGCCACCACGCCTGGCTAATTTTTTTTTTTTTTTGTATTTTTTGTATTTTTAGTAGAGACGGGGTTTCACCGTGTTAGCCAGGATGGTCTCGATCTCCTGACCCCATGATCTGCCCACCTCAGCCTCCCAAACTGCTGGGATTACAGGCGTGAGCCACCGCGCCCGGCCACAGTTATTGTTTTTAATGACTGCATAGCATCTCGTTGTATCAGTACTTCATTGTTTACACAATTATTTTATTGTGAGAGCTTTTGGGGTTGTCTTTGAATTATTTGAAACATCATAAGTAATATTATGAATGCATCATTGTGCAAAATATTCTTTTTCCTTTTGGATTCTTTGAGTCCCATCGATGCTGGCTTTTATTGTTATACACTTTGCTCATGTATAATAATAAGAGGTAGATAACAGAACTGCTAAGCTGTTTGTTTGTCTAATTTCTATCAATGGTTTAGGTTATGGCTTCTATTTTCCTGTGTATAAAATTGTCTATTCTTATTTTTTTACACTCTGGCTGTTTGCCAAGTAGAAGCTAAGGATTAACCATATACATTTTTATTAAATCTAGATTTTTTAGGAATCTCAGCTTTTTTTCTCTCTTTTTTTTTTTTTTTTTTTTTGAGATGGAGTCTTGCTCTGTGGCCCAGGCTGGAGTGCAGTGGCGTGATCTCAGCTCACTGCAACCTCCACCTCCCGGATTCAAGCAATTCTCTGCCTCAGCCTCTGGAGTAGCTGGGATTACATGTGCCCGCCACCATGCCCGGCTAATTTTTTTTGTATTTTTTTGTAGAGATGGGGTTTCACCATCTTGGCCAGGCTGGCCTTGAACTCCTGACCTCGTGATCCACCCGCCTCGGCCTCCCAAAGTGCTGGGATTACAGCCACAAGCCACCGCGCCTGACCGGAATCTAAGCTTTTATGAGTTATACTTGTCATGAATCATTTTCATATTCTGTGCCCTTTTTTTATATTTTTTGAGATGGAGTCTCACTCTGTCGCCAGGCTGGAGTGCAGTGGCGTGATCTCGACTCACTGCAACCTCCGCCTCCCAGGTTCAAGTGATTCTCCTGCCTCAGCCTCCCAAGTAGCTGGGATTACAGGCACATGCCACCATGCCCAGCTAATTTTTGTATTTTCAGTAGAGACTGAGTTTCACCATGTTGGCCAGGATGGTCTCGATCTCCTGAACTTGTGATCCGCCCGCCTTGGCCTCCTAAAGTGCTGGGATTACAGGCGTGAGCCACCACACCTAGCCTGTGCCCTTCTCTTTAAACTTTGTTCCATTGCATTATTTTTTATGATGTAGTTTTAGATGTTATAAAGGGAGTGTAACGGGACTCACTCATGGACTCTTTTCCAAGAATTTCTGCAGCCCTTGGAAACTCCCACATCACCAATGCAAAAAACCTAGTACCTGAATCCTGTGGTCTCAGCATAAGAAAATAGCCTTGGCTCATGGTTGAAATGGGGACTGGGATATCCTAGGAAATGACCTCCTCTGTGGGGAGTATGGCGAGAGCTGGGTTGTCAGTCTCCAGGGACACTGCTATCAGTATCCTCCTTTTCCACTTTATTCTTTGTTCCAAAATAATCATTGTAATATCTCAGAATTAAATCTCTGGCTGTCCTTTCAACCATGTGGTTAGGGACCAGAACTGATTATTCCCAGAGCTGCCCATAGGTCACAGGGAAGACAAGGACCGCGTGTTTCCTTGACTTAAACATGCTTGCTCTGGGCCACTGTGATCACACAGTTGTCTTTCTTCCATTATCCTGGGCCTGAACGCATCACACGCTTCCCTGGCTTGAGGCAAGAGGTGCAAGATAACTGAAGGTTATCTTCATGGTCATCTCGAGTATGACCATTTGGGGCGGGAGTTGCTTGTGCACGTGCATGTCTGTGCATGTGTGCATACTGCTTATCTCTCTGCGTATCTGTTGGGCTGCACTTGCTATGCTTGCGCTACAGCCCCTCTTCTACAGTCCTGGCTGGAAGATGGAGGTGAGATGGCTGGATGATAGTGGCAGGGAAGGGTGTTCACATGGCTGCTGAGCCACATTTACAGGCTCAGGCCATTCTGCTCAGCTGTGCACAGTTGGAATACAGGGGGTTATTGTTACTGGAAGTGAGCTCCCTGTTCTAAATTCCACCAAAGTGTAAGTAACATGACCCAGGATGAGAATTCATCATGATTCGGCCAGGCACGGTGGCTCACACCTGTAATCCTAGCACTTTGGGAGGCTAAGGCGGGTGGATCACTGAGGTCGGGAGCTGGAGACCAGCCTGACCAACATGGAGAAACCCTGTCTCTATTAAAAATAGAAAATTAGCCGGGCGTGGTGGCACATGCCTGTAGTCCCAGCTACTCGGGAGGGTGAAGTGGGAGAATTGCTTGAACCCGGGAGGGGAAGGTTGTGGTGAGCCAAGATCGCACCATTGCACTCCAGCCTGAGCAACAAGATCAAAACTCCATCTCAAAAAAAAAAAAAAAAAAAAAAAAAAAAAAGAGAATTCATCATGATGCTAGAGAGGCTGGGAGTTCCTATGGGCTTGAGGGAGGGGAGTGGTGGAGCGGGGAGGAGAAAAGTACAGAAATTATCATACAATTGTTTGCTGATGTTTTTCAAAGGTGCACTCTAAAGCTTTTATATAAAAGGATATATGTTTCTTAAAAAAATAAAAAATAAAATGGGCTGGATGCAGTGGCCCATGCCTGTGACCCCAGCACTTTGGGAGGCCAAGGCCGGAGGATCACTTGAGGCCAGGAGTTCGAGACCAGCCTGGCCAACATGGTGAAACCCCATCTCTACTAAAAATACAAAAATTAGTGTGTGGTGGTGCATGCCTATAATCCCAGCTACTTGGGAGGCTGAGGCAGGAGAATTGCTTGAACCTGGAAGGCGAAGTTTGCAGTGAGCCAAGATTATGCCACTGAACTCCAGCCTGGGCAACAGAGTGAGACTCTGTCTCAAAAAAGAAAAGAAAGAAAAGAAAAAATGCCACTAGGATCTCTGAAACTCCTATTAAACAGAAGACCGCAAAAGCCAGTATTGAGGAGATGGTGAGAGAAGGCTGTTCATGTGTAGGCAGAGTGAGAAAATTCTAAAACAAGACAAAGAAGGAAAAGAGTGGGGCAAACATGGTGTAAAGAAAGGGCTGAAGAGAGAGGGTAAAGTGAAGGAGAGGATCTGTTGTTACCAGCAGGGCTAATCCCAGGCAATGCTGTGTGCCCGACAATCTTCTAGCCCAGCCCCCTACCGATAAGTCTCTAAGTACAATGCCACCAATATATAATGTGCTAAATATTTTAAATCAACTTTCTTTTCAGAACAAGTATCTAATTCATCTTAAATAATACCATGTGGGAAATAATAAGTTTGATATCTAGTTATATGTTTTCTAATACATGTTAGGATAAACACTCAATTAGTAACAGTATCTGTCCATCTATCCATCTATGAAGCGCCAAAAACGATCCCGGTTGCTGTGCAGTGGTGTGCACGCAATTCCATGGAAAGTCCATTCCCTCCTCACCCCAAAACCCATCCCTTAGCCGTCATCATCTCTTACTGGAATTATCCAAACAGCCATCTCGTAGATGTCTCAGCCTTCAGTATTGGTCCCACTCCAATCCTGACTATGACTACAAACTAAAGCCAGGGTGATAAATTCTAAAGTGAAAATTATATTATAATTAAAGTTGATTGATGAAATGCATATATTTAGCACTGTTCTCTTCTAATACTGTTGAAACCATAATAAAGAATTTTCTTGGCTGGGCGCGGTGGCTCACGCCTGTAATCCCAGCACTTTGGGAGGCTGAGGCAGGCAGATCACAAGGTCAGGAGATCGAGACCATCCTGGCTAACACGGTGAAACCCCGTCTCTACTAAAATACAAAAAAATTAGCCAGGTGTGGTGGCGGGCGCCTGTAGTCCCAGCTACTCGGGAGGCTGAGGCAGGAGAATGGCATGAACCTGGGAGGCGGAGCTTGCAGTGAGCTGAGATTGTGCCACTGCACTGCAGCCTGGGCAACAGAGTGAGACTCCATCTCAAAAAAAAAAAAAAAAAAATAGAATTTTCTTAAGGTGTGAAGTCACAAGAACAAAGAGAACAGGGGAAGCTACCAGAACCCACTTGGAAGAAGCTAGCAATCAGATGGCGAAATGGTCCTAGAGAACATGGGCCCTCAGAAGTAAGAAGCACACCAAGATGGGAAGAAGACGTGGGACTCAGGAAACAAGAATCCAACCCATGAGAGAGCATGATGGGCAAGGGAGATGCCAAGATCACAGCTGCTGGTCCAGACTGGAGCAGGTGAACAGGTTCAGGAGAGTTTCCTCCACAACAGGAAACTGATACAATCCCTGAGGTGTCTGAAGACATTGAGAGACCTGGAAGCGGTGGTTCACGCCTGTAATCCCAACACTTTGGGAGGCCAAAGTGGGAGGAGTTCAAGACCAACCTGGGCAATATAGTGAGACCCCATCTCTACAAAACATTTTATTTTACTTTATTTTATTTTATTTTTTTGAGACAGAGTCTCTCTTTGTTACCCAGGCTGGAGTGCACTGGTGCGATCTCTGCTCACTGCAACCTCTGCCTCCTGGTTTCAAGTGATTCTCCTGCCTCAGCCTCCTGAGTAGCTGGGACTACGGGCTCGTGCCACTATGCCCAGATAATTTTTTTGTATTTTTAGTAGAGATGGGTTTCACCATGTTGGCCAGGCTGGTCTCAAATTCCTGACCTCAAGTGATTACCCTGCCTTGGCCTCCCAAAGTGCTGGAATTACACTGGTTTTCACTTTCAGTGCAATATTTGATAAATTACATGAGATATTCAACTCTTTATTATAAAATAGGTTTTGTGTTAAGTGGTTTTGCCTAACTGTAGGCTACTGTAAGGCCACCATGCCCGGCCTCTACAAAACATTTTTAAAAATTAGCCAGGCATGGGGGTGCATGCCTGTGGTCCCAGCTACTCAGGAGGCTAAGGTAGGAGGACCACTTGAGCCCAGGAGGTCGAGGCTCCAGTAAGCTGTGATCACACCACTGCACTCCAGCCTGGGCGACAGGCTGAGACCCTGTCTCAAAACAAACCAAACATACATTAAGAGGAGCTTTACACAACTACAGGGGACTCAAATTTGTGATAGCACACAGAAAAGTGGACAACCAATAAAACAGCAGTCATTAACTCCAGACAGAATGCTCTGTAGGAAACGTGATTCCAATGCATGACATGGCTCCACTGTGAATAGGCCCCGGGGGTTGTGGGACTGACTATAATTCTGGAGACCAGCATGGGAAGAGAAGGGGATGGCAAGTGACAACAGGGCAGAGGCAGTAAGGGGCCAGTGCTCATTCTCCGTGGTAGGAGTGGATGGATAATGACGAAACTGGAAAACCATGTTTGAGATACCTGAAACTGAAAAGCTGAAGTATTTGAAAGTGGCTGGCTGTGGGGAGGAAGTAAGGGTATGAAACAATTTGCCTTTTTTTTTTTTTTTTTTTTTTTTAATGAGATGGAGTCTTACTCTGTCACCCAGGCTGGAGTGCAGTGGTGCGATCTCAGCTCACTGCAACCTCTGCCTCCTGGGTTCAAGTGATTCTCCTGCGTCAACCCGCAGCCCACCCACACACCCCCCACCCACCTCCAACACCCACCCCCGGCCCCCGCCCTCCAGTAGATGGGACTACAGGCATGCACCACCATGCCGGCTAATTTTTGTATTTTTAGTAGAGACAGGATTTCACCATGTTGGCCAGTCTGGTCTCAAACTCACGGACTCAAGTGATCTGCCTGCCTTAGCCTCCCAGAGTGCTGGGATTATAGGCAGGAGCCACTGGCCACAATTTGCCCCTTGAAACTGTAAGCAGTGCATAAATTTGAATTTAAAACACCAGATCATGTTACCTCCCTGCTTAAAACCTTATAAGCAATCCTCGACTTAACGATGGTTGGACTTAGGACTTTTCAACTTTACGATGGTGCAAAAGCGATACACATTCCATTGTATTACACATTCCATTCCTCTACACATTCAGTAGAAACCATTCTTTGAATTTTGATCTTTTCCTCTGCTGGCAAAATGTGGTATGATGAGATTCTGGGAAGAACGGCGAGCAATTCTGGTTTTCACTTTCAGTGCAGTATTTGATAAATTACATGAGATATTCAACACTTTATTATAAAATAGGCTTTGTGTTAAGTGGTTTTGCCTAACTGTAGGCTACTGTAAGTGTTTCGAGGTTGGGAGTACTAAATGCATTTTCAACTTAATGATATTCACAACTTACAATGAATTTGTCAGAATGCAACCCTTTCATAAGTCAAGGAGCATCTGTAATGGCCTCTGTAAAATAGCTTTCGAGGCCTCTTCTGGGTAAGTCCTACCTACTGCCAGGGCCTCACCTTTCCCTGGTCCATATTGCACACTTCGTGTCAAGATACGCTTCGTCCCTACAGCCAGCCATATCCTCTCATCTCACATATCTAGAATTTTGAACATACGCCTTTGGACTCTCCCCCTCCTCTCCATTCCCTTCTCTGGGCAAACTTTGATTCAACTTCAAGTTTCCATTTGGCCTTCATTTTTTAAGGAAATGCACCTCCACCCCCTAAACTCCCACCCTGCTAGACTGGGGAAGATTTCCCTCCCATCTGATTCCGTAATTCCCCTTCTTTCCTTATTTACTTCCCATACTTGCTGCTATTGCTTCCTTAATTATTTTCAACCCTCCACTGGAGAACTCTGCCAGGGCAAAGAAAACAGTCTTTTTCATCATTATATTATCAGGGACTACCACTGTACCAAGGACATTGTAAAACTCAATATAGAGTTGTTGAATGAATGAATCCCACTGTCTAGACCCTGGGGCAATTTTTATCAAAATCTCTGTTATAAAAATGTTTTCTCAGCTGACTTTTTTTTTTTTTTTGAGACTGAGTCTCACTCTGTCACCCAGGCTGGAGTGCAGTGGCACGATCTTGGCTCACTGCAACCTCTGCCTCCCGGGTTCAAGCAATTCTCTTGCCTTACCCTCTTGAGTAGCTGGGATTACAGATGTGTGCCACCACGCCCAGCTAATTTTTGTATTTTTGGTAGAGAGGGCCTTTCACCATGTTGACCAGGCTGGTCTTGAACACTTGACCTCAGGTGATTCGCCTGCCTCAGACTTCCAAAGTGCTGGGATTACAGGCGTGAGCCACCACGCCTGGACTGACTTTCAATTAGAAGAGTATTTAGGCATCTAGATATGAATGAACTATATAAAGCCAAATGCATAATTGGCCTGTTTGTATGATCCAGCTAGCCAGTGAGATATTTCTCTGTAGAGGATCCTTTCAGAGTCCCTCAAATCACACTTAGGTGGTGAAGTCACCTGTTTGGCTTTGTATTACTCAGATAAGCAATGTCGCGTAGTGGTTGACCACATAGTCGGTAGGACTGGACTCCAGGGTTCAAATCTCAGCTTTCCTACTTAGACCTTAGCAAGTGATTTAGCTTCCCACGACTCAAGTTCCCTATCTGTAAAATTGGTATAAGATAATGCTTGCTTCATATATATATATATATATATATATTTTTTTTTTTTTTTTTTGAGACAGAGTGTTGATCTGTCACACTGGCTGGAGTGCAGTGGCGCGATCTCAGCTCACTGCAATCTCTGCCTCCTGGATTCAAGAGATTCTCCTGCCTCAGCCTCCTGAGTAGCTGGGATTACAGGCATGCACCACCACACCCAGCTAATTTTTGTATTTTCAGTAGAGACAGGGTTTTTCCATGTTGGCCAGGCTGGTCTTGAATTCCTGACCCTGGTTGATCCACCCACCTTGGCCCCCCAGAGTGCTGGGATTACAGGTGTGAGCCACTGTGCCTGGCCCTTCATAGGTGTTTTTAGAGTGTTTTCAGCATGGTGCCTGGCACATAGTAAGCACTCAGTATATTATCATTATAGCTTCCAGATACCTTTCTCTATATGCACTCCAGTTTGTTAATTTTTTTTTAAGTGTAACTGGTCAAAATTAAACCCAAAACTATTTTGTCTGACTGGGACAAAAGGTACAGGGTCCTAGCACTGCCCTAGATCTAGAAATTTTACTTCTTTTAATGCAGGCTAAATTTATACTGGCTTTTTTTTCATAAGCAGCCTTATCATACTGTGGAGTCATATCAACCTTGCATTTAATAAACCCCTCAGACCTTTTAGTGTGAATCTCTGTCCAAATAGCACTTATCCTTCCTGTATCAGGGTAATCAATTTTTAAAAATATTTTAATTTTGCTTTTTAAGATGGAGTCTCCCTTTGTGGCCCAGGCTAGAGTGCAGTGGTGTGATCTCGGCTCACTGGAACCTCCACCTCCCGGGTTCAAGTGATTCTCCTGCCTCAGCCTCCCAAGTAGCTAGGATTACAGACACCCACCACCAAGCCCGGCTAATTTTTGTATTTTTAGTAGAGACGGGGCTTTACGATGTTGGCCAGGCTGGTCTTGAACTCCTCACCTCAAATGATCTGCCTGCTTTGGCCTCCCAAAATGCTGGGATTACAGGTGTGAACCACCGCACCCGGCCTAACTCATCCATAAAGTTGCTGAACGGAAGGAGGCCAAGGGCAAAATCATGGTAACTCTAGCAAAGCCTCTTCAAGTCAACAGCAGTCAACAGTCCAGCAACGTTCTTCACATGCAATCTTTCAGCCTGTAATTCCTCATCTCTGTCAATAAGGATGTCATGATAAAGGTCCCAAATTACCATTTCTTAGAGATGTCTGCAAAATATGGGCTCTAAGGGTGTTTGTTTATAATAGCAAAAAACAGAAAACAACCTAAATGTCCAACAAGAAGAGATTGATTGCATCCATGTTTGTACATATTTTTAGTGGACAGCTTTTGCATTACAAAAAAATTAAAATTCTGCACATTCATGTGGCCTAAACTTATTTTTAACCATAGATAGTGTGGCTATTTGGGATTTCACTCCCTAGTTTTCCTTCCCTCTTCTGGTAATATCACTCTGACTTTCTTTGGGTGGAGGGAATTTCCCTTTCCCACTGGGTTACTTTTAGTGAAACTGTCTAATAAAGCAACTCTTGCTTCCCTAACCAGAGGGAGGATAGCTGCCCCAAGCTAGGACATTGAACTGTCTCTTCAAGGACTTTAAGGACTAAGAAAAATTGGAACTGATGTGTCACAGCATTGTGCCGTGATCCAACTGGCTATTAATTCCTGCTGCCAGAAGCCCAGAGCTGCCCCGGTTCCTGCTCTTTCTAATTCTGATTTTCTATCTTTTCCTTTGATGTGGTGAACTCCCCATAACTCCCAATGAATGGCATTTTGCTTAAATTGTCCAGTGTTAGTTTCTGTTGCTTATGATAAAAAACTTTAATTGGTTCAGTCAAGTCCCTTAAAATATTTTAGAACTGTTTTTAAAATCCCAATATATAAAACAGACTGCAGGCTGAGTGCAATGGCTCACATCTATAATCTCAGCATTTTGGGGGACTGAGGCAGGTGGATTGCTTGAGACTGAGGTAGGTGGATTGCCTGGGCAACACAGTGAGACCTCATATCTACAAAAAAAAAAAATACAAACAAAAATTAGCTAGGTGTGGGGGCACATGCCTGTAGTCCCAGCTACTCGGGAGGATGAGGTGTAAGGATCACTTGAGCCCGGGAGGCAGAGGTTGCACTGAGCCAAGATCATGCCATTGCACTCCAGCCTGGGTGACAGAGTGAGACCCTGACTCGAAAAATAATCATACAGGCCAGGCGCAGTGGCTCATGCCTGTAATCCCAGCCCTTTGGGAGGTCGAGGTGGGCAGATCACGAGGTCAGGAGTTCGAGACCAGCTTGGCCAACATGCTGAAACCCTGTCACTACTAAAAAGACAAAAATTAGCCGGGCATGGTGGCATGCGCCTGTAGTCCCAGCTACTCGGGAGGCTGAGGCAGGAGAATTACTTGAACCCAGGAGGCAGACGTTGCAGTGAGCCGAGATCATGCCACTCTAGCCTGGGTGACAGAGTAAAACTCCGTCTTCAGAAAACAAACAAAACAAAACAAAACAAAAACATACAAACAAAAACCCAAACAGAAAAACAAGAAAAAACCAGAGTGCTCTTGCACGTGGGTGGTCTGTCCATTTGGCTCTTACCTGTGCAATAAACTCCCAGAGCTCTACAAATGCAGTGTAAAGTAGACGTCATCTTTTGAGAATGGAGTGTCTCCTCTTCCCTCTCTGGTGATGTTAAATGTATTGACTTGTTATTTCCTATAAATCTTAATGTTTGTTGTTATTTCCTACAAATATTAATGTTTGTCCTGTCTTTCATGTTAGAAGCTTTTCCCAAATGTCTGATGATTTTTGGCTGTCAGTTTCTATTTAAAAGCAACCCAGTAAAATGATTACCAGAAATGTACATGAGCAGGGCTTGTACCCAATTCTCCTGTTTTCAACTCCACTCCTTGCTTCTGAGGTCCTCGGTGCTTCAGATTCCTGAGACTTCCTGGCGTTCTGTTGCCCAAATTGTCTTCCTTCGTTGGCATCTCCTTTTGGAGTCACTTGCTTCCAGCTTTCTCTGTTCTGCCAAGTCAGTTACCACTCATCCATTTATTTTCCACCTTCCAAAAATGCGTTGTCATTGCTGGTCCTGTCGTTTCCTCTCCTAATCTCTTTATCTGCGGATTTTTATCTTTCTTATTCCTTTCATATAATTTTAGTGTTTTTTAGTGAGAAGTTTGGGTTCATTATTTCAGTAGAAATCTCTACCTTTTCTGGAGTTACCACGTTTTATTTTTATACTAAATATAAATATGAGTATTTTTAACTTTATAAAGACACAGTCCTATAACATTTGTTTGTTGTCTACCAGTAGTCTACAAATCTATTAGTCAAATCAAAAAGGAAATAAAGACGGTTACAATGATTTGTCCTTAATAAATTCATTGTGGCTCCAAGTATTCACTTAATTATTTTCTGGGTGTTCACAACAAGCAACACTGTTTAACCAGGTGATCCTATTAATTGTCAATATTCAACACCAAGCTGGTGATTAGCAGAACCCACTATTTTCCTACCCAATTGCAATTCCTTTCTAATTTCTCATGAAATTTTAAAGCGTATTGATAGTTACTTTGCAATCCCTTTTCCAAGTCCCCTTAGCATCTTATAAATAAATGTGTCTAGACATGAGGTATTTATTAAAATAATTACTTTAAATAAATTACTTCACCTACTGTAGGCTTTCATCCTCTTTTTGCAACGTTTGTCCTAAATCTTTTTAGTTTGAAGACTGTACTAATTTTTTCTGGGAGAAGTGGGACTGCCTAGCATCTAAACGCCCTTCTTATCTGGGGGAATCCAAACATATGTGGAGAAAGGGCTCCACTGTGAAAACCAAAGAGGTAGAAATTCTCTCTCTTGTCCTCTAGCAAGAGAGCATGTGATCTAGGCTCAGTGAATCAGGATTTTGAATGATGGGGGAATGATGTAAAGACACAGAAGGTGGGAGTTTTTTCACTGCAGTGGTAGAGGAGTGGAGAGTAGAGAAGTGTGGGAGTGGGCATCCTTTACCAGTGATACCTAGAGTGGAAGCACCAAGTAGCCACTGGTGGCAGTTCCAGCCATGGTGGCCCTATTCTGGTGGCAGGACCTTGATAGAATTTGGCTGCCCAACCTCTCTTTGTCCCTGGATGGGGTTTTTTGTTTTGTTTTGTTTTTTCGAGAAGGAGTTTCACTCTGTTGCCCAGGCTGGAGTGCAATGGCGCGATCTCGGCTCACTGCAACCTCCACCCTCTGGGTTCAAGTGATTCTCCTGCCTCAGCCTCCCAAGTAGCTGGGATTATAGCCCCCTGCCACCACACCCAACTAATTTTTGTATTTTTAGTAGAGACTGGTTTCACCACGTTGGTCAGGCTGGTCTTGAACTCTTGATCTCAGGTGATCTGCCCGCCTTGGCCTCCCAAAGTGCTGGGATTACAGGCGTGAGCCACCGCGGCCCGGCCTCTGGCTGGGTTTTCATCTTGGTGTTGTGGACTTCCCCTTGATTCTGTGAACTGTCTTACACCATTCCAGCAAATTTCTTTTCTGCGGAAGTTAGCAAGAGTCAGTTTCTGATATCTGGACAAAGAACCTTGACTGGTACAGAGAAATTGGTACAAGGAGATGGTTGCAGATGACAGAACCCTGGAGAAATTGATGAGGGAAGGAATCTGAGCTGTCTACCTAGTTACTTAGGACTGAGAGCAGTAAAAATTCTGTTAGTATGTAGGGATAATATGTGCTTGATATTGTATAGTGGCAGAAAAAAATTAAAAGATAAATATTTTCCAGATCACTACTTATTAAAGCAATTATTTGCCCCTGCAAACTATAGGAAAGTCAAAAGAAATTCAAGAACTTGAGAGTGGTGTTCATTTCTTTTCTTGGCTCTAGTCTGCTTCAACAAAAATAGATGACAAGCTCAGCTCCTTAAATTCTCAGATCATAACACAGATTGACACACACACACTTTCTAAGTCCATACTAAAATGGATCTCATTTCTCACAGCCATAGGACAGAGGTAACTGAAAGCCAAACTCCAGGAATTACCAAAATTACAAAGTCAGCTGAATTTTTAGCCTCACTAGGACCCGTATGTGAAAGAGCATTGATCAGGACCGCGTTTCCGCTCAAGAACTGGAATGAGAAAACATGATAATGTCTGAAAAACTCAGGGAACTCTGTACCCCCAAGCCACACTAAGCCTTCATCACCAGCCAAAACAGAGCCTGCGCCTATATGTAATGAGGCTATTGTTGCTGTACATGAAGATGCACCTAAGAGAGTTATCTTGCAAAAGAAAGCCAATTATTTTCCTGTTCTACTCCCCTGACTCCTCATTATCTCCAAACATATAACTAGAATTAGGTACCAGCATGTCCAGGAGGGCCAATTATAAAATACAACCAGAGAGTTAATGATTAGCACACACTGGACAAGACACACACACACACACACACACACGCACACACACACCCCCAAGATTTGCTAATTTACAGTAATGTGGAGGAACAGACATAGGAATGGATTTTCTGAGGAGGAAAAAACGAAATTTTAGATTCCGGCTGAATTTATCAATGCAGGTATGCTTTCTAGAAATTCAGATTTAGCAAATTGACTCAAGTAGCTGGAAATGTTTCTAAATATTTTCTTGGTTGGTTGCCTGCCTGAAACCTAGTCACTATGAAGGACAATGCCAAATGAAGCGGAGGTGCACAGTGGTGTCGCGAGGAAGGAATTCAGAAACGCTGGAAGACAGAAATACTGGAGGGCATTCACATGTCCTCTTTTTATGTCCCCAAGGTGGCCCAGAAAGCCAGTAAAGAAAATACCCGCATCTTTGAGAATGTTTAGTGACTGTCTAAGTAGGCCAGGAATGCCTATGGGAGAAGCTGCAGCTGCCATGGCTTCCCTTATTTTAACGGCAATGGACAGATCCCCAGTCAGCAGAGGCCAAATGGTGGCACTTAACTGCCAGTGGTGTGGGGACGTGACTTTCATCTTAGGCATCAAGGCCAGCATGATGACCAGAAGCTTCAGGCCTTCAAGCTCTTTGTTTTTGGTTTTTCGTGTATTTTTTTTATTTTTTATTTTTGGTTGGTTGGTTGGTTGGTTTGTTGGTTGGTTGGTTGGTTGGTTTTTGAGACAGAATCTTGCTCTGTCACCCAGGCTGTAGTACAGTGGCACAGTCATGGCTCACTGCAGCTTCCACCTCCCAGGCTCAAGCAATCCTCTTACCTCAGCCTCCAGAGAGTAGCTGGGACTACAGGCTCAAGCCACCATGCCTGGCTAATTTTCATACTTTTTGGTGGAGATGGGGCTTTGGCCTGTTGCCCAGGCTGTCTCAAGCTCCTGGGCTCAAGGAATCTGCCCACCTCAGTCTCCCAAAGTGCTGGGATTACAGGTGTGAACCAGCATGCCCATCCCCTTCAAGGCTTTTTTAACATAGGTCATCAGTACCAAAACAAGTGATTAGCCACTAGACATCCTCAGAATCACAGAAATGGCCTCCTGACCTGTGGAATAAGGCCTATAGGTAAACAGGGTCATCTGGAAGTACCTGCACTTCCCCCTGCCTATCCAAAATCAGTCAAAACAACACTACATCCCCAGGGAAATCATCACCAGGATCTCATTAGGCGCAAGGTGCAGAGTTATATTATATTTCCATTAACTATTTAGTTTGGCTAGTACAGAAACTGGCTGGATCTTGAAAAACCACATGGGTCCTCAGTGCTCTTGTATCTGCTGTTCCAGATGGGGTCTCCTAATGTAGCCGGTGGTACCTGAAAGACTGCAATGATCCTTAATGCCTTTGTTCTCTATCCCAGGAGTTAGAAAACACCAGGAAAAGGGTTGTTCCCACCTGGAAGAGAAATGCTAGAGCAACACACCATCTTCCTCAACATTATCATCTGTCTCTGGATGACAATGAAATTCACAGGACACTGATTGTCTTTTTATCCCATTGGACATCGTGATAGTCTACAATACTGATAACACCATGATGATAGGATCTGAAGACCTGGAAGTACCAGGTACCCAAAGTACCTTGATAAAACACATACCAGAGTAAGGGAAGGAGGATGGGAAGGAGAGAGATTCTAAGAAGATGCAGGAGTTGGCCAGGCGCTGTGGCTCACGCCTATAAGCCCAGCACTTTGGGAGGCTGAGGCGGGTGGATCATCTGAGGTCAGGAGTTTGAGACCAGCCTGGCCAACATGGTGAAACCCCGTCTCTACCAAAAATACAAAAATTAGCTGGGTGTGGTGGCAGGTGCCTGTAATCCCAGCTACTCAGGAAGGTGAGGCAGGAGAATCACTTGAACCTGGGAGGCGGAGGTTGCAGTGAGCTGAGATCACGCCATTGCACTCCAGCCTGGGCAACAAAGCAAGACTGTCTCAAAAAAAAAGACAACGCAGGAGTCTGTCACCTCAGTGACGTTTCTAGAGGTTGGTGGGGGATCTAACTCCCATCAGAATAGCCCATACAAAATGAAGACTAGGTTTAGCACCTTTTACTCTCATCACTAAGAAAGAGGCATAAGTGGCCAGGTGCAGTGGCTCACGCCCGTAATCCTAGCACTTTGGGAGGCTGAGGTGAGTGGATTACCTGGGGTCAGGTGTTCGAGACCAGCCTGGCCAACATGGTAAAACCCTGTCTCTACTAGAATACAAAAAAAATTCAGCCGGGCATGGTGGCACGTGCCTGTAATCCCAGCTACTCGGGAGGCTGAGTCAGGGAGAATTGCTTGAACCTGGAAGGCAGAGGTTGCAGCCAAGATCACGCCACTGCACTCCAGCCTGGGCAACAGAGCAAAACTCTGTCTCCAAAAAAAAAAAAAAAAGAGGCACCAGCTTTGCTGCTTTGCTGGCCTTTTTAGACTTTTTTTTTTTCTTTCCCGAGACAAGGTCTCCCTCTGTCACCCAGTCTGGAGTGCAGTGGTGTGATCTCGGCTCACTGCAGCCTTAACCTCCCAGGCTCAGGCAATTCTCCCACCTCACCTCCCAAGTAGCTGGAACAGGCACACATGCCACCATGCCTGGCTAATTTTTGTATTTTTTTGTAGAGGCAGGGTTTCACCATGTTGCCCAGGCTGGTCTCGAACTGGACGCAAGCAATCCTCCTGCCTTGACCTGCCAAAGAGCTGGGATTACTGGCGTGAGTCATGGAGTCCCGCCTTATTTATTTATTTATTTATTTATTTATTTATTTATTTATTTATTTATTTTTGAACTCTCTTGCCCAGACTGGGATGCAGTGGCACAATCTCAGCTCACTGCAACCCCCGCCTCCCAGGCTCAAGCAATTCTTCTGCCTCAGCCTCCCAAGTAGCTGGGATTACAGGTGCATACCACTACCACTCAGCTAATTTTTGTATTTTTAGTAGAGATGGGGTTTCACTATGTTGACCAGGCTGGTCTCAAACTCCTGACCTGAAATGATCCACCGTTTGGCCTCCTAAACTGTTGGGATTACAGGTGTGAGCCACCGCGCCTGGCCCGGCCCTTTTTAGACTGTCTAGCTAACACATACCACAGTTTGGTGTGCGTCTCCAATCCATTTACCAAGTGACTTGAAAGGCTTCCCAGTTTTCAGCAGGGGCCAGAGAAAGAAAATATTCTCCAAGTTGCAGCATGTGTGATTCGGCCACTTGACCTTAACAACCCAGTGGATCCAAATGGTGCTTGAGTTATCAATGGCAAATTGGGTTGCAGCATGTAGCTTGTGGCAAGCCTGATCAAGAGAATCACTGTGGAGACCTTTATTGTTTTGCGTCAATCCGTGACCTCTTCAGTAAGCAGCTGTTACCTTTGTAAGAGATACTCTTGGCCTGCTACTGAGCCTTGAAAAAGACAGAATGTTGCCCATGGAACATCGGTCACAGTGAGATCTTGAGTCATCCATTGTGAATTTGGTAATATTTGAGCCACAGTGCCATAAAGTTGGGTGTGGTTAGCATCTTACTAGAAAGCAGTGAGAACAGGTTCAAGTAGGTCCTGGAGGCACAATAAAAGAGAATTTGTTCACATGTCTAGTACGTCAACTCCTGCCACATTGCTGCCCCTTCCTCAGCCCACATCTTGTGGTCTCATGTGGAGCAGCCTACCAGCCGCATCTATTAACAACCCCACTCGGATTTTTTCTAAAGGACATGAGAGAAAGGACATCCTCTCAGTAGGCAGAACATGTAGCATACCTCACTGTCCATTTTGTCTTGAAGAATTGATAACTTGAGGTAAGAGTTTACAATGAGTGTCTGGTAGTGTCTGGTGTTTTGGTTGTATAACAAGGGACTTGGAACAAGACTGCAGAATAGTTTTGGGAAAGAAGTACTTTTAATGACCTGTTGGTCAGAAATGATGTTGTCATTTTGGAGCAAGTCGTTTGGGGAAGAAGAAAGTGAAATGGGCCAGGCACAGTGGCTCACGCCTGTAATCCCAGCACTTTGGGAGGCTGAGGTGGGCAGATGACCTGAGGTCAGGAGATAGAGAACAGCCTGGCCAACATGGTGAAACCGCATCGCTACTAAAAATGCAAAAATTAGCCGAATGTGATGGCTCTCATCTATAATCCCAGCTACTTGGGAGGCTGGGGCAGGAGAATCACTTGACCTGAGCTGCGGAGGTTGCAGTGAGCCAAGATCATGCCACTGCACTCCAGCCTGGGCAACAGAGTGACTCTGCTTCCAAAAACAAAAAACAAAAAAAGAAAAGAAAAGAAAAAGTGAAATGACCCATAGAATGAACCCAGTTAATCAGATGAACAGATGATTACCTACTCTGCCAGTCAACTTCCTTCCCAAACTACCTTAATGTTTGTCCAATGGGATTAAGCAAAATAGAAGCTCTGCGTTAACACAACTACAGGGAAATTCCTGCTACTGAGTCCATTTTACCTGTGTTTCCTTCCTTAGTATGCTAAATACTTTTATGTATCTACTTTAAAAAGAAAAGAATTGTAGGCTGGGCGTGGTGGCTTACGCCTGTAATCCTAGCACTTTGGGAGGCCAAGGCGGTTGGATCACCTGAGGTCAGGAGTTTAAGACCAGCCTGACCAACATGGTGAAACCCTGTCTGTACTAAAAACAAAAATTAGCTGAGTGTGGTGGCGCACGCATGTAATCCCAGCTGCTAGAGAGGCTGAGGCAGGAGAATTGCTTGAATCTGGGAGATGGAGGTTGCAGTGAGCCGAGATCATGCCATTGCATTCCAGCTTGGGCAACAGAGCAAGACTCCATCTCCAAAAAAAAAAAAAAAAAAAAAAAAGACTGCATTCCTTTGTTTCTTCTACTTTTTGAAGAGTTTAAATCATAAGGCAAGTAAGGAATCCCTCGTGTGATTTGCTTTGAGTTGACTCACACTCATATCTCATCAAGATCCCTTTTTGCAATTATTGCTTCTCTACAGAGAGAGAAACAGGAAGTAGAGGAAACAGAGTTGAATATTTGAAAGGCAGGACATCCTCAGGGGGTAGGCCTCAGTAAAGTCAGCAATGGACAGATGTGACTACACTCTTGGGGATATATCATACTAAGCAGATTCACAAGAAATGGATGTTTCCAGAGTGCGCATGTACAGTTAGAAATGTAAGCACATAGAGGACTTAAATGTTCAAATTGGCTGATTTGCCAGCCACATAGATAAGCTAAAATATAACCAGAAGATCGTGGCGAACCAGGGAAAAGAACAAAGGGAATCAGCAGGTTTATCTAAAGTCATTAAGCTTGATCATCGGATTCATCCATCTTCCCTATGGGAACATACCTGCCAATGGGCCTGAAATATCTGGGTTTGCTGGTCAGGGATGCCTGTCCCCCAGAGAGTCGTTTGCTTCAGGTCCACTGCCAAAGTCAGGCTCCCTGAGCACTCCTTTCCCAGGCTTCAGTCTGACCATCTGCATTATTTTCATACACATCTTCTTTTAGGGTGAGTACGGGTCCAGCACAGTGGCTCAAACCTATAATCCTTGCACTTTGGGAGGCCAAGGCAGGAGGATCACTTAAGCCCAGGAGTTCAAGACCAGCCTGGGCAACATAGTGAGACCCCATGTCTACAAAGTAAAAAATAAGATTAGCTGGGAGTGGTGGCGTGTGTCTGTAGTCCCAGCTACTCGGGAGGCTGAGGCATAAGAATCGCTTGAATCTGGGAGGTAGAGGTTGCAGTGAGACAAGATTGTGCCACTGGACTCCAGCCTAGGTTACAGAGCAAGACCCTGTCTCAAAAAAACACAACAAAACAAAAAAGAGTGAGTACAACATAGTAGATAAGGGCAGAGCCCGAGAATGTTAATACCGTCCTCTGAAAGTGTGACAACACCCACACACTCTGTCCCTTGTATTCCCCAATGCCTGGGACTCCCATTGTGAATAGTTACCTCCACCATTGGCTTCTCTCACTGACAGTTACTGTGTCAATTGAAGTTGTGAATTACTTTGCCCTTACACACACCCAGCATTATATTCAGTTGTGCTGCTAGTTCTCATCTCTTTATTACAAAACCAGCTCCTTTTCTAGAGTCTCATGTTGCACGCATTTCTGTTTCCCCTTAGCGGTGTCCCCTTACCACCACCACTAAAGGAAACTCCCCTTCTTTATCCTGTGACAGCCTCCTCGTTGCTCTATGACCTGGGTCTCTTACGCTGCCTGCTCTCAACTCCTTGCAGCCATGTCCACCAGTTCCCTCTACCTGTGGAACCCAGGCTTCTTCCATGGGTCTGGAGTGGAGCTCAAGAATCTGCCTTGCAGCAAGCTCCCCAGGGGCTGCTTGGTGCAAGCTGAAGGGAAGCCCTCTGTGAATCACCTCCTTCAGTTCCCCAGCGAGCTTCCTAGAAGAGTGACATTGGCCAGACTCATCTGCTACTTCATCTGTTGCCACATCACAAACCTGCAGCTTAGCTACTTGCAATCTGGTGAGAAACAGAAGAAAGAGAACAGAGCTTAGAAATAGGCAGACCTAGGCTGGAATCCTGCTTGTATCATTTATTCTTTTTGTTGTTGTTGTTGCTGTTGTTGTTGAGATGAAGTCTCGCTCTGTTGCCCAGGCTGGAGTGCAATGGCACGATCTCAGCTCACTGCAACTTCCGCCTCCCGGGTTCAAGTGATTCCCCTGGCTCAGCCTCCCAAGTAGCTGGGATTACAGGCGCCCACCACCATGCCCAACTAATTTTTGTATTTTTAGTAGAGACGGGTTTTCACCAGGTTGGCCAGGCTGGTCTTGAACTCCTGACCTCAGGTGATCCACTCGCCTTGGCCTCCCAAAGTGCTGGGATTACAGGTGTGAACCACCATGCCCGGCCGCTTCTACCATTCATTGTGTGACTCTGGGAATGGCTCTTTTAAAAATGCGTTTCCTAATTCCAATCTAGTTCACAGGGTTGTTGTGAGGCTCAGAGGGAGAAAGATGCTTCCTTCAATAAGTATGTGTTGAGCCCCTCCTACGTGCCAGGCATGGGGTACTGGGCTAGGTGCAGTGCCTAACACCTAGCAGGAGCTTGGCAACTACTCATTCCTTGCTTCTTCCCTCTCCCTCTCATCGCCCTGAAACCTGAAGGTCACCATTTGAGTTCTCCCTTCTCTTGGCTGGCCTTGTATCTTGTCCAGCTGCCTCCTGCCACTCTTAGATTCCTGAGAGGTGACATGGCACATTGCTGACGAAGTCCTTGTCTTGATTCCTGATCAAGGCATCTCTGTCTCCAGTCTCTGGGTGGGAAACCCAGTATGCCAAGCTAGGCAATGTGGAAACCAGTATGGACCCATTTCCCCCTTGCCAATGCAGCTGAGAGCCAGAGTCAGCCGTAAGGAGCCAGCTTATTGTCTCCTGTCCCCTTGGCCCAACGGAGCCCTTTAAAGCCAAAGAAGCCTCCCAGGTAGGAGGCTTGCACGGCCCATGTCTTGACATCCTAAGGGCCACTTCCTAAGGGAAGGAGAAAGAGAACGCATGGGGATGCAGATGAATTTTATAAGCCCTTCCCATTCTTTCCTGGGAAACAGGAAGAGACTTGGTTCAACCTTGGTATAACCCTGCTGTGCATCTTCAATGCCCCCAATGCCAGGAACCGCCTTTCCGAAAGAGGTGGTCATGAGTCAGGGAGGAAATATGTTCGATCACCAGTGACCTCCTAGCTCCACATCCATCAGCCCTTTCTGCTCCTTCCTCCACCTATTAGCAGCATCTCACACTGTTGATACCCCGTAGCTTCCAGCAGAATCTTCCTCACTGAATAGAGGCCAAAGTCCTTAGGTACTCAAGGCCTTCTGTGACTGGACCAAAGCCCGCATTTCTTACTGCATCTCTCCCTGTATCCCTTCAGTTAGCATATGTTCCTATCAAATGTGCCATTTGCTTTTCTTTATACATAGCCGTGACTTTCCAACACCTGCTTTTGCTCAAGTTAGGTTCTTTCTCCATGTCTATCTCCTTCCCTAACTCCCTCCCAGTCCACCCAGGTGGAGCCTCTCTCCTAGGCTTCTGCCAGGACTCCATTTTTCTCTCTCTCTGAGACATCTCTCTGTCCTGACTTGCCTTCTCAACTGAACTGTGAGTTTTCTGGATGGCAGGGACTTTTTATTCTTTCCCCACCGTGTCTTGTATGTAGTAGTAGGCTTGTAGTAGGCTCTCAATAAACACATGTGCCATAATTGAGAACATGAGCGAGTCCTAACCTACCAGACATCAGATATAGACTCAAACTTCAACTCAACTTTGTCTGCCATGTGCATGTTGGCGTGTAGACGTCTGAGCTTCTCCATCATGTTCACTGAGAATTGCTGAACATCCTCTTCCTTGGGCCATCGTCATGAGACTGAAGTCAGCTGTCATCCTTGAGCCAGAAAAGTGAGGGTTGGGCTAGAGATTTGGAAGCTGAGGATTGGGGCTGAGTATCATAGAGGAGTCCTGTGGCCAAGAAGAGTCCAGAAAATGGAAAGTGGGCATGGCCAGGGATCCTTAACTGCAGAGCTGCCAAACCCTGAGGGGGCTCGGGTGAATGTAAAAAGCAGCATGCTTTATTGGGAAAGAGGGGTGATTTCAGGGTCCAAAGCCCATATGAGGCAGTGGCTCTACAAGGCCTGGAGGGCAGGGTTTGGCTTAGGTGGGCGAGAGTAACTTCCCTGGAGAGGTTGCATCTGGCCCTATCGCAGAGCTGGGGCTCTTCCTACACCAGTACCAATTTTCAGGTCTTAGGGGTTCAGCATCTCACATGTTCTTTTTGTATTCTTCTGTTAGCCAGGTTTACAATTTCCTGGAGGCATTTTTCTTTTTATATATTTAGTTTTTTGACACAGGGTTTTACTCTGTTGCCCAGGCTGAAGTACAGTGGCACAACCATGACTCACTGCAGCCTCAACCTCCCAGGCTCAAGTGATTCCCCTAACCTCAGCCTCCCCAATAGCTGGGACTACAGGCACATGCCACCATGCTTGGTTAATCTTTTTTATTTTTAATTTCTTTTTTTTTTTTTTTTTCCAGAGACAGGGTCTCACCGTATTGCCAGGGCTGGTCACGAACTGCTGGGCTCACACAATCCTCCTGTCTTGGTCTCCCAAAGAGCTGGGATTACAGGCATGAGCCACCACGCCTGGCCCTGGAGGCATTTTTCTCCCTCTCCTTTCATTTTGTTTAAACCATTCTTTGATCGGGTTGGCCAGTTTCTGGGCAAGCCTGTTCCTTGGCTGTGGTGAGATGCAGGTTTCCTCAGCTATGGCCAGGAAAGCCATATCTGACTTTTTAAGATCACCTATGTGACCAGCTATTCATTTCCTATCTCTTCTTTTCTCTTCCATGTCATGCAGATCAGCAGGAAGAAGAGATGGAAGCAACGCCATGGACCTTCACGTCCTTCAGAGTGTGGGTGGGCTTGGGCTTTGCAGTGAGAGCAAGTATCACCCAGGATGGAGATGGGAGGTAATGGGTGGCCCCGACAGGTGCCTCCTACTGCTGGCAGCAAGGAGAGAGTGAAGAGGCAGAATTTCCTTGGTCTAGACTAGAGTCTGGGTCATGGGCATGGCAGTGCTTGAGCTTTTGACCAGAAGCAAGTGGACATGGATTTGAGCTTCGGGTAAGAAGGGAGACTTCTCTCCAGGGACCATAGGGGCTGGCAGCTGAAGAAGGTGACTTGGCCCCTCTCTAGAGGGTGAACGCAGGATCAATTCAAGGCCATGAAGTGGATGCAGCTGGGAGAGCCTGCTTGGTGCTTTTAAACCTCAACATGTCAACCGCAAATACCTCAAACACTGCTCACACCGTGGTAAAATCTAGTTGCGAAACCTGTCCCGCGGCAGCCTTCTCCATCCCAGGTGCCCAGGCCCCATCTCCTGGGAGCAGGCAGCTCTCCCCACCCCGATTCATGTCCCTCCTACAGCCCAAGGCAACTCCCTGCCACCTTGGTGAATGAAGCACATCATGCTGCCCAGGCTTCTGAGCTGTTTGCCGTGTTGCGGAGATGCAGCCTTCAGCCTTGGATACCCACCCACTCCTCTACTTGGGCATTGTTTTCACAGGCTGCTCTTCCCTGTAGCTTCAGAGAAGTAGGTCAAGTAGGTTAACTCGCTTTAAGGGAGAAGTGCCAGGGGTTCAAGTCACCCAGCCTGGAGGCAGGAATCCTGGGTTCTATTTTTGGCTTCACAGCTAATCCGCTGTGTGACAGTCGTTAGGAGCTCATTCTCCCCTCTGGGTCTCCCTGAGCCCTTCTCTAGGTCCCACAATTTTTTTTTTTTTCCCTGAAGCTATATTCCCTGGACTGTCATATTCTTCCCTCTTCCCTCCCTCTGGGAGGTGCTTTAAAGCCGTTGGCTGCTCAAGGCTGGCGCCCTAGGCAAGAGGGGCTGCAGTTGTTGTAGCTGATGAGGAGGAGATAAGAGGCTTTTCTGTAGACACAGTTGAGCTGATGGGCTGTGTGAGGCTGGAGTGCCAGGAAACCAGACTCCTGTAACTACAGGACAGGCCCTGGTGATGTGATGATGGGGATGTGACGGGGATGCTGAAGCCTGGAATGCGAGTGGGGGTTCCTGCGTTTTATGCAATGGCTGTAGATTTCCTCCCACTTCTAAGCCTCCCTTTCTGTGACACGCAGGGAAATTCAGTCTCTAGTTCATATGGAAACTTGGGACCTCACTGTGCTGCTTGCTCTTGGCAGAGGATATCATTTGAGCTGTCATAGCAGAGGACCACATTTACCAGGGTGCACTTTGGCCAAAGAATAGTAACCTTTCTAAGGCTTAGTTCCTCTGGCCTGACCAAACCAGTCCCAGGAGGCCCCTGGGTTCCAGTCAAGGTCATGGGAGAGGCCCACCATGGATGAGGCCTGGGGGAGCAGGGTGGAAATTAAGTGCCCAGGTATGTTATGGATAGCCTGCAGCCCTCTCCAATCCCTACCCTCCAAACCCAGTGAAGGGGGACATGAAACAGGTGAGGCAGAGGAGCAAATGCGGGTCAAGAATTCCGAACTATACTTGACTTACAGTGCAGCTGTGATGTGCACATTGGTGTGTGCCACGAGACAGCATAGTGTGGTGGAAAGAAAATGGGTTTTGAACAGAGTGTCCTGGGTTTGAATCTCTGCTTGCCCATGTACTAGAGAGTAGTCGAACCTCTCTGGGCCTCAATTTCCCAGATGTAAAATGGGAATAGTAGTACTTACCTTGCACGGGTGCTGAGAGAATTCCATGAGACGACACAACCCGTGTAAAGTGCCTGGCATAGGCATATCACATTAGGGCACTCAGTAAATGTGATGTCTTTTCTACTTGCCTTCCTGTCATACCGGTCCCCATGTTTTGGATTTCTGCAGCTAAAGTTAAGAAGCTTTTTAAGATAGGAATCCCAATTCTCACTTTGCCTCCTTTTCATAGCTCACCTAAATGGCTGACTTCTGTTCAGCACCTCTTCATGGGTGCACTATTCTGGAGAGGGAGATCCTAGAGTTCCCACCTTCTGTTTGTTTGTTTTTGTTTGTTTGTTTGTTTTTTTGTTTGGTTTGTTTTTGTTTTTGAGACAGAGTCTCGCTCTGTCACCCAGGCTGGATTGCAGTGGCGCAATCTCGGCTCACTGCAACCTCCGCCTCCCAGTTTCAAGCAATTCTCCTGCCTCAGCCTTCCAAGTAGCTGAGACTACAGGTGCCTGCCACCACGCCCAGCTAATTTTTGTATTTTTAGTAGAGATGGGGTTTCACCATATTCACCAGGCTGGTCTTGAACTCCTGACCTTGTGATCTACCCACCTCGGCCTCCCAAAGTGCTGGGATTACAGGTGTGAGCCACCATACCTGGCCAGCCCTTCTGTTCTAGACTGTGAGCCCGAAGACTGCATTCTCTCCCAGGCTCAGTTTCCTTATATACATAATGCCACCGTGGTCAACCTCTACAGCATCATTTCCTGCACATATTTTGTCTAAACACCTTGACTGCACCTCAGAGAAGCTGGGTATGGGCCGGATTCCTTTGCCATTTAATGCATACAGCCCGCAGAACAATGTTGTCTGCTGAGCCCCTGGGGGACAGCAGAGAATTGGAGCCTCTTTTCATGGTTCTCACAGGCCATGTGACACACAGATGGGAGAAGCTGGCATCTGCAGGGCCAAAGGCCTCTGGCCAAGGCACCCATACCAAAGGGGACAGACTGGCCAAAGCAGCCTTATCCCTATCTCCTTAGGAACCACATTCTAGTGGGATCTGTTTGGTGATACAGGTTGGGAGCATGGGTGGGGAAGCCTACCCCAGGCCTGATTCAGTCATGAGGATCCAGGAGCACCCTCCAATGGCTGTTGCTAACTACAGTTGCCAGATAAAACTTAGGTGGAATCTGAGTTTCAGAAAACAAACAAAAAATGTTTTTAGTATGTCTCACCTACTGCCTGGGGCGTACATTACAAATCAGTCCTTATATATTTGAAACTCAAATTACATTGGGCATCTTGTATTTTTATTTTTTTGAGACAGAGTCTCACACTGTTGCCCAGGCTGGAGTGCAGTGGCGCGATCTCGGCTCACTGCAACCTCTGTCTCCTGGGTTCAAGTGATTCTCCTGCCTCAGCCTCCTGGGTAGCTGGGATTACAGGCGCCTGCCACCATGCCCGGCTAATTTTTGTATTTTTAGTAGAGATAGGGTTTTGCCATGTTGGCTAAGCTCGTCTGCTAACCCTAGAGCTGACAGGAAGGCTTTTGGGTTGGGCGGTTTTACGGGGAAAATACTCTGTAACAGCGTTTTTCCTTTACTCTCACATCACAACAATCAACGCAGAAGAGTTATGACCAAATGTCGGGGTGGGGGGGGGGCGTTTCCCCACACACCAAGCAGCTGGGTGTCCTCTAATGCAGTCTGACACTGAAAAGTAGTGTCAGATCCCACATTGGAGGGCTCAGTCCCCAAGACTGTTCCCCCAACACCAGTTGTAAGTCCAGACCTCCAGAACTTCTGACCAACTGGCTTCAAGTTGGGGTTCCCGTGACTCCCTCTTCGGGTTCAATTAATTTGCTGAAGTTGTTCAGAGGGACTGAAATTTACAAAGGTCAGAGATGGTAGAGGAAAGAGTATGGTAAGTGTGGTGTGCAAGCCCATCTAGTGGGAGCACAGTTGAGGAGGGAACAGGAGGTGGAAGCCAGGTGGGAAAGGAAGTCTGGGGCCCTGTTGGAAGGACCTTGAATGCTGTGTTGTTATGATAGACAGTTTTCCTCCATGATTCCTGGCTCATAACTCCCATAGCCCTTGTTACAGTCTTTTGTTGTAATATTGAGTGTGTTAGGCCACAGGAAACAGACTCTCTCCTTCTCCTGCCCTCCTTTCACCTGCCCCCAGGCAGGACTCTAATCTTTCCTGGACTTTCCAATGGTTGTTCTTAAGACCATTCCCAGAGAGGTTCCCACCCTATACCCCGGGGGAAGGAATGCTGACGTTATAAAGCTTTCATAAAAACCCAAGCGGACAGGGTTCAGGGAGCTTTGGGATAACTGAACACATCGAGGTTCCTGGAGGGTGGTGCCTGGGGGAGGGCTTGGAAGCCCTGTGCCCCTCCTCCCACACCTGAATTGTTTTTTCTTTTTCCCTTCATGAAACTCTTCCCTGCTCCTTGTATGTGCCTCCATAGTCATTATAAGATTTTATGATAATTTTTACATGTCTCCCCGCTCCTAAGTACCTTCCACAGTGTCTAGCATGTCATAGGGAGTGATTGGTAAATAGCTGATAGAAAGAACAAATTAAACTATCAGCCTTGTGAATTTTCTAAATAGAGGTCTGTACTTCTCATGCAGAATTGACTATGTTTTTTTCCTGCCCAGTAATTTTTTTTTTTTTTTTTTTTTTTTTTTTGAGACAGTGTCTCACTCTGTCGCCCAGGCTGGAGTGCAGAGGCACAATCTCAGCTCACTGAAATCTCCGCCTCCCAGGCTCAAGCGATTCTCCTGCCTCAGCCTCCCGAGTAGCTGGGACTACAGGCATGCACCACCATGCCCGGCTAATTTTTGTATTTTTAGTAGAGATGTGGTTTCACCATGTTGGCCAGGCTGGTCTTGAACTCCTGATCACAGGTGATCCACCTGCCTTGGCCTCCCAAAGTGCTGGGATTACAGGTGTGAGCCACCACGTCTGGCCTCAAGTAATGTTTTTATCAGTATTCATCTGGAATTCCCTGCTAGACCTTTCATTCTTTGAAGACAGACACTGCATTTCCTTCTGTACTGTAGACACCAATGTTTCATGAGTATATTTTGTGTTGAGCAGAATTGTGGGAAGGGAGTGTCTCTGGGTGATCATATCAAGCTAGAGCTGAGATTCTCCTTCCTGCTCCAGTTCAAGTCTGACTCTCAGTCAATCTTAAAGCCACCTGGCCTGGTCCTGGAACTGAAGAACAGAGACAGAGGTTATTTGTGAGATGCAGGGAGTGTGTGCCCGGGGTAGGGGGGTCTAGACTAAATGTGTGTTCCAGGAACCATCCCAGGGTTTCCCTTGGGGCTGGCATGCTGCTAAGAGAGTCAAAGAGGTCAAGGAAGAAGAAGAAAACCTGGAAACAGCAAGAGAGTGGGGCGCGGGCGGGAGGTGGAGGCCCAGGCCAGAGAAAAATAGGAAACATAAGTTTTGAGTGCAACAGACTGAGCACTGTTTCAAGAGTCTGGCAACCTGGATTCTTTCTCTGGCTCTGTTCCTGCCTTGAGCCATGAAGGAAGGAAAAAATATACATGAGTGCCCACTGTGTCATTTCATGTAGATTTTATTCCAGTTTCCCAACAGTCCTGCAGGAAGCTGGGGTTGAGAGAGTAGATCATTGGCCTACAGACACACAGCCCAGCCTAACAACATAAATTAACCTCTCAACGTTAAATGAAGTAAAATGAAGTTCAGTTCTTAAGTATCTTTAAGTTCCTTTCCTCTCTAACTTCTACTAGTAGAATATTTCTACCAGTAGAAAAAAACAAAAGAAAACCCAAACAACTCTCAACCATGGGCCAAGAGAAACTAAGAAATCGATATTGAAAGGCCAGGAGGGGCAGGAGAAGTGGCTCAGGCCTGTAATCTCAGCACTTTGGGAGGCCGAGGCGGGCGGATCACTTGAGGTCAGGAGTTCCAGACCAGCCTGGCCAACATGGTGAAATCCCTTCTCTACCAAAAAATACAAAAATTAGCCGGGCGTGGTGGCACGCACCTGTAGTCCCAGCTACTCTGGAGGCTGAGGTGGAAGAATCGCTTGAACCCAGGAGGCGGAGTTTGCAGGGAGCCGAGATAGTGCCACTGTACTCCACCCTGGGCGAGAGTGAGACTCCATGTCAAAAAAAAAAAAAAAAAAAAAAAAAAAAAAAAAAAAGACGGGAACGTGTGCAATGTAAAGAAGGCTGGATGAGAAGCCCAGGGAAGTCCTGAGCTAGCTTAGGAGAGATCTTCAGGTGTGGGCGTAGGCATGAGCCGCTGCCTCTCTGTGCCTGTTCCTCATAGGGTCACGGCAGGTGCAGAGCTGGAATTCAAGTCGGCGCTGGGGCTCAGCTGGAGAGGATCCTGGCGGCAAAGCTTGCGAATTACACATATAAATCAGGGAGAGGAAAAGCAAGCGGACTTCCTGCAGCCCTTGGGGGTTGGGAGTGGGGTGCGTTTCCTGCGTCCCTGACCCGGGAAGGACGCTGTTTGGTGGTAGCAAGCACCTAGCCAGAGAGTGGCTGGGCACCTAGCCAGAGAGTAGCTGGTAGGGCGCAGCTGAGGGCTGGAGGGCTTCATCAGAGAACGGCGCTCAGCTAAGGTACCTAGCCAGGAGAGGGTGGAAGTCATTCCCCAATTCCCATCCTTGCGCCCCCCGGCTTAGCCCACGCAGCCTGGACAGAACTGGAGGAGGGGTGCACCTGCAGCTCTCAGCGCCCCGGCTGACCTCGAGGACCCCAGGTTAGGGAGAGCTTCCGAGCGCTCCGACAGGAGCAGGGAGTTGGGGTGGGTAGCTCCGCAGGTGCACGCTGCGGCCCTTAGGGCGACAGCCTCGGAAAAGGCGCATCTCCGGCTGTGGGTTTCTCGGGGGCGGGGCGCAGGGGCGGGGCGGGGCGAGGGGCTCGCAGAGGCCTCGGGTTGGCCGAGCCGGGAGGGAGGAGCATTAGTATTAGCATAGCCCCCGCCCCCTGCGCGCAGCAGTGCCCAGCAACCCGAGCGGAGGCGGCCGCTGCAGCCCGGCGCTGAATGGGCTGGCGGCGCCCGGCTCCGTCCTGCCCGCGGCCGGCCCCCGCGTCTGCTCCCTCCCCGCCCGGGCCCCTGTCGGCCGCCGCCAGTCCCCGCCCCGACTGTGAATGAAAGGCGGGCGCCGCCGAGGGCTGGCTGGGAACGCCGCAGCGACGCCGGCCTCTCGAGAGGCGCGCGCCCCGCCGAGATGTACGGTAAGGAGGGCTCCGCGCCCGGGCCCGGGCCCGCGGGGGCGACTCCGCAAACTTCCCCGGCGCGGACCATTGTCCCCCTGCACGGCCCTGGCGCGGGGCCAGGCCGCTGACCTGGTGCCCGGCGGGGCTGTTGCGGTCGCTCTGTGCGCGCGCGTCTGCGCTGCGAGGACAAAGATGCCTCGGGCCGGGGACCCTGGGGTCCTCTCCAGGCCCGGCGCGTGCCGGTGCTGGGCGGTGGTCCTTCGGGGGGCGGAGGCTCAGGGGAAAGCGGGTCTCCCGGAGCCGAGCAGACCGGGAGTGCTGGAGGAGGTGGTCGTGTGGCAGCATTTGCGGAATTAACAAAAGCGGTTTGTGCCTGGGAGTTTTCTGTGGGAAGCCGGTCCAGGGCTGAGGGAGACGCCCGCGGCCGGTCGTCTGCGCGGCTCGGAGAAGGCGGGAGGCGGCGCCGGCGGCGCAGAGGCCCGGGGAGCAGCCAGTGGCCGAGTCTCGTCTCGCCCGCCTGAATGGACTCGGCCTCTGCCTGCCCCTGCCGCCCCGCGGGATCCAGGTTCACCAACTTCCAGATTTTCCCTCCGCAGTGATGAAGGGAGGAGACGCTGCTGAGAGGGTGCAGCACAGCCCTGACCTCTCCCCGCCTCCACCGCCATCCCCTCAACTGCCGTGCAACAGTTAGCCAGACCCTCACGATGCACGGCTCTGCTTGATCATTTGCTAGGACTCCCTCTGGTTTTGCAGGCAGTGTGGGTGAAGAAGAGAGAGCGCGTTGGGTCCCACATTGCAGCTCTGATGAATGGAGCACTGGAGACCTAGACCAGTCTAGGAATGGACTGCATTCCTGAGCCTGCAGCCCACCAAGGGCTGTGCGTGTGTGTGTGATCCCGGTAGACATAAGTCCATGAAAACCCAGGTCTCTGGCAGCTCTTCTAGTGCCAGCAAAATAATTGGAGCTGTGCTCACCTCCCACCCCCACTGCAAGGTAGGGGCTCAGGCTGCACTTGAGGGGTCAGTGTTTGGAGAAGAGTGCGTTCCCAATTTAACCCATCACTGAGGCTGCTCGGCTGCTCAGCTGCCTCGCTCCGCGAACAGACTGTGAGTCACAAAGTTTGTTAGAGGCAGAGGAAGCTGAGAGCCTGGTGGAAAGGCTCAGCAATTGGTGGGCCCCCCTACTGAGAGAGAGAGAGAGACTGACTCAACTTTTTCATCGGTCTCCTTCCCTGCCCAGTTGCTCAGAAATACGTTTGCATTTCTGATCCAGGGTGAGACATCAGCAGGTCCCCTCAGCAAGTACCATTTCTCTTGGACCAAGTGGGAGGAGGGGGAGGTTGGCCTGAGAGGCTGTGCTGCTGACCACTGGGGACTCTGGGGAAAGGTAAAAAGGCGGTTATGCTTTATAAGCCAGAGGTTGTGATATGTATGTATATATATAGGAGTATGTGTGTATTTTTTTACTCTCTCTGTTTTCCCCCTCTTCTTTTCTGCAGAGGTAGCAGCCTGAAGCTGCAGATCATTTGACAAAAGCATGTGACTGCAGGGGCACCTGCAGTGGGGAAGGAGTTAGGACAGGCTCATCAGAATGGGTCAGAATTAGGAACTGGGTTCTGCTGGGCTGCCTCATTGCATTTAGTCCAAGATAATTTGGTCGTTTACCCGAGATATCTGAAGGTGGGGGTCCCAGGCTGCCTCTGTTGTATGAAGCAAGACAAGGAAGAGCTGGATAGTCAGAAAGGTGAACTGGGGAATCAAAGCATCTGGGTGCTATTTTCAGACACATCTCAGGTTTTCATTTCTCTTTTATAATATATTTTTATTTCCCCAGATGCAAACAGATATGGTATTTACCCTGAATGATTCATAGAAAGATTGTAATGGAGGAATCCTCTGGGCAGTTGCCTGCAGCAAAGGAAAGTCACACCAAGCTTGGGTGGGAAATTACTACTGAGTTGCTGGGTGCAGAGTCTGATCTTAGGAGGTGTGGGAGGGAGCCCACTCCCCCTGGTGAGGACTCAACTGCTTGGATTTTCGTATATTCCTGACTTTCATGAAAAGAAAGGGTTCATGTGATATTTAAAATCATTTTCTCACCAGAAGTCAATAGAGTGATGAAAAAAAGTGAGTAAGGAGGTTTGGGGGCGGGGATCACAGAATTATAGACTTCTTATAATTGCAATTTTCCTCTTGTTTTACAAGTTATTTTTCCAGGGTGACAGAGTTAGATGGAACAGGGCACAATGAAAATGGGGGCCTCCTGGCACTGCGCTTCTCCCCCTCCCACCTCCTGACCTCCCCTGTGTGTCCTATAAAGTCTCATTAGAAAAATACCACCAGGGGTTTTATTAACGTGATGGGCAGAGAGGCCCCCCTATGGAGCCGAAAGTCACCTAAGAGCTTTAGGTAAAGGTGTACCTTGTCCACCCACCTTGGTGACTTGTGCCACTATAAATTTGTCTTCCCATCTGTCCAGCTCTGGAGGATCTCCGTTTCCCATCCCTCCCCCTCCTCACCCTGCCTCTGCCCTCCACAGCTCAGCCTTCTTCCTTCTGCTTATGGGAGGCTGGGAACCCCATGTCTTTGCTGGACACAGTGCTATCTAGGATAGAAGGAATCCTTGTTCTGAGGTCATCCCATCTGAATCCAGGAGCCCTTTCATGGCTGGGTGACCTCAGGCAAGTGGAATTGTCACTCAGAATTAAATCCCTGTATACAAAAGTGAAACGCATGTCTGTCTACCTTCCAGGTCTGTTGTGAGCATCACAAGAGGTTCCGAGCTCCTGAAACTGGTTGCTCAAGAGCCTGTCCTCTTTGGGCCCCCTTGGACCTGTTCCCTCCTTTCCTCTCTGCCAACTCGGGCACAGCCTGTTTGTATCACCTGCCACCCCCGCTTACACAGGCACATCACCTCGACTGTGCCAGTGCCAAGCCGCTGAGCCACTTCCCTTTCTCAGACTCACCCCAGCTGTCTCCTCACCACTCAGTCATTCCTAAACCCATCAGTTTCTGGAAATGGCTCTCTAAAAGGACACAGTGACTGCCCACAGTTTTGTGTGGGAATCCTATGAAGGCAGACTGACAAGGGACATGAAAAAATGAAAGCATTTTTACTGGGGTGGGAAGATCATTAGCAAATTCTATGCAAAAATGGATTCCCATGAGCTTTTCTTTTTGTTAGCATTATACAGCTAAGGCTGGGCGTGGTGGCTCACGCCTGTTATCCCAGCACTTTAGGAGGCTGAGGCGGGCAGATCACCTGAGGTCAGGAGGTCAAGACCAGCCTGGCCAACATGGCGAAACCCCGTCTCTACCAAAAGTACAGAAATTAGCCGGGCGTGGTGGCAGGTACCTGTAATCCCGGTTACTCGGGAGACTGAGGCAGGAGAATCACTTGAACCTGGGAGGCGGAGGTTGCAGTGAGCTGAGATTGGCGCCACTGCACTCCAGCCTGGGAGACAAGAGCGAGACTCCATCTCAAAAAAAAAAAAAATTATATAGCTAAGAGTTTCCCTGTTGCTCTCATCTGGGCTGGAGCATCCCGTTTCCCCGCTGAGGTGAAACAGAGCTCTGAGAAATGCCACCCTCTGAATTAGGGCAGCCAGCTAGGAGGGACGTTTGGAAAGGATTTCCCCAACCACAGTCTGTGCACCCCGATCCCACTAACACCAAAGCTGCCCTAATTCTTCCTCACCTCTGAGTGCTGCCTCATCCTCAGCAAATGCCTCTCGTCCCGCTTAGTGGTTGAGAATGCTGACTGTAAATAGCGACAGTGAACAACTTTTTGAAAATGTGCTTGGGCTGGGCACAGTGGCTCACGCCTGTAATCCCAGCACTTTGGGAGGCCAGGGTGGGTGGATCACCTGAGGTCAGGAATTTGAGACCAGCCTGGCCAACATGGTGAAACCCCGTCTCTACTAAAAACACAAAATTAGCCAGGCATGGTGGCGTGCACCTGTAATCCCAGCTAATGGGGAGGCTGAGGCAGGAGAATTGCTTGAACCTGGGAGGCGGAGGTTGCAGTGATCAGAGATAGCATCACTGCACTCCAGCCTGGGTGACAAAGCAAGACTCCATCTCAAAACAAAACAAAAAACCACACCGAAAATGTGCTTGACGGAATCCTATTTCGTGAGTGAGACTGTTGCCAAAAGGTTGGAGAAACTGCAGGGCAAGGCAGGCTCCCCCTGAAGTACAAAGTCTTTTTTTTTTTTTTTTGAGACGGAGTCTCGCTGTCGCCCAGGCTGGAGTGCAGTGGCGCGATCTCGGCTCACTGCAGGCTCCGCCCCCTGGGGTTCACGCCATTCTCCTGCCTCAGCCTCCCAAGTAGCTGGGACTACAGGCGTCCACCACCTCGCCCGGCTAATTTTTTGTATTTTTAGTAGAGACGGGGTTTCACCGTGTTAGCCAGGATGGTCTCGATCTCCTGACCTCGTGATCCGCCCGCCTCGGCCTCCCAAAGTGCTGGGATTACAGGCGTGAGCCACCGCGCCCGGCCGAAGTACAAAGTCTTACTCTGCAGAAATCTCCATAGACTCCCTGCTCCTCCTCAGGGCGATCCCACAGCACATGTGCGCATGTGCACACACATAAACCAGCCTCCTCCCCCAGATCCTAAGGTTTCTGCAGCCCCATGATCCAGGTATGGCCTATGCATGTGGGAGCTGTGTGCCCTTCCCCCTCCCACCTACCACTCCAACTCCTTTATTCCCCTTGAGAAGGGGGCCAGGTGAGCCTGTTTTCTCTCTTGCTGCTCACAGTTCAGTGAATACAAGTGGTCACAGTTTTTTTCTTGTACATAAATAAAAATAAAAAGGTAATATTATATTACAGAAAAATCTGGAAAAGAGTGGAGAAAAAAATCATCCACAGTTCTACCCATTTAAAGCAACCTTCTATCTATGACATCAATTACCGCTCTGGTTTTGTGTTCACCTCCTTCAGCCCTCTCCTTGCTATTTCTTTTTGATCCTGGCTTCAAGGAGCACCAAGAACCCCACAGCCTGGGTCTGAACCCTAGCTCCGACCCTCGGGTAATCTTGAACCTGAGCATTTCTGAGCCTCTTTCCTGCCTCTGGAAAGATGACAGCAGTGTTTATCTCATGGCAGAGATGAATTAGGATAAGAGAGCTGCCCCCACTTTCCCTTCCCCTTTTCTTAACTCTCTTTTCTCTGTTTCTTAATTTTTTTATTTTTTAATTATTTATTTATTTTGAGACAGTCTCACTCTGTTGCCCAGGCTGGAGTGCAGTGGCGTGGTCTTGACTCACTGCAACCTCCACCTCCCAGGTTCAAGCAGTTCTCATGTCTCAGCCTCCCGAGTAGCTGGGATTACAGGCGTGTGCCACCACACCTGGCTAATTTTTGTATTTTTAGTAGAGATGGGGTTTCACCACATTGGCCAGGCTAGTCTCGAACTCCTGACCTCACACTGATACGCTCACCTTGGCCTCCCAAAGTGCTGGGATTACAGGTGTGAGCCACCATGCCTGGCCCTTAATTTTTCTTTTAAAGGCAAAAATAAAACAAATAAAAATTTATGTTCCATAAGATTAAGAACAGTACTGTGATACCGTTCCTTCTATCAAACAAAGGAAAAATATAAAAAATCATCGAATCCCTCTAGAAAATCTAGAAAATACAGTAAACTATAAACAATATAACATTTACTGCTCTAATATCTTTCTTTCCATGTGTTTGTTTAGACGGTTGGAACCTTTTATTTATTTTAGAGACAGGATCTCACTCTCCCCCAGGCTGGAGTGCAGTGACACTATCATGGCTTACTGTAGCCTCAACCTCCTGAGCTTAAGTGATCCTCCTGCTTCAGCCTCCTGAGTAGCTGGGACTACAGGCATGTGCAACCATGCCCAGCTAATTTTCTGTGTTTTGTAGGATGGGGTCCCGCTATATTGCCTAGGCTGGTCTTGATCTCCTGGCCTTAAGTGATTCTCCCACCTCAGCCTCCCAAAGTGCTGGGATTACAGGCATGAACTACCACAGCTGGCCTGGAATCATTCATTTTATATCCTTTTTTTTAAAATTAGCACTAGAATATAAGCATGCCCCACAAGTTAGTAAACTCCTTGGCTATCATTTTTAATGTCTACATAACGGTGCACTGAAAGGATGTATAATTTTCTTTCTGTACATTTAGGGGTATTTCTGAATTACAGCCCCTGGAGAAGTACTTGGTACTCAAAGCTTTCTGTGAACTTCGGAATTTTTCCCTAGACTGTAGCCCTTCAAATGGATTGGTCAAGGTATATAAACATTTTAAGACTTGTGGGTGGCAAGCCACCCAGGTGCCGAGGGCACGAGCTGTTCCAGTATAATACAATATATAAAATAACAAGAGTTACACTAGATATAGATCATAGGTATGATTATATATGAATATCATTACTCATTAGTTTGTAGCAATTACTCTCTATTCCAATATTATAATAATCCTTGCTCTACAATCATAACCTAGGAAAAGCCAGGCATTTGGGGCCACTACCAGTCTCCACGTCTTGGTGGTAGTGGTCCCCCGGGCCCAGGTGTCTTTTCTTTTATCTCTGTCTTGTGTCTTTATTTCTACAATCTCTTGTCTCCACACATGGGGAGAAAAACCCACCCACCCTGTGGGGCTGCTCCCTACAAAGACTAGTTACATATTGTCCAATTGTTTTCAGTTTGTATCCGTTGTACTCCTACTAGCGGAATTTTTCCCTCGACTGTAGCCCTTCAAATGGATTGGTCAAGGTATATAAACATTTTAAGACTAGTTACATATTGTTCAATTGCTTTCAGTTTGTATCCATTATACTCCTACTAGCAGTTATAAAATCACCTATCTCCCTATACTCTCGAGAGCGTTCAATATTAAGATTTTTCCCCTAGTACTTGCTAATTTGATAGAAAATGTATATCACTTTAACTTACATTCTTTATTATTAGTGAAACACTTCTTTGTCTTCTAACTATTTGCGTGTTAGTAAATCGTCATGGGAGTATGAGTTATTAACTACTTGCCTGTCTTTTGCTGTCTGCTCTGTGTTTGGAAGGGATATAGACTAGGGATATAAGCTATCAAGTATTTATGGAGTAGCAGCTATGTATGATACTACAGAGGCCATCATGAGGGATAGAAGAATATATAAAAGTAGTTTCTGTCAAGAACATTAGAATTTAACTGGGCAAACAAGTTATAAAACATGCAAACAATTAAATGATATAAAGTTCAGTAAAGTTGCACTGTTTTGCACGGTGGAATGGAGTTACTCATCAGATGTTCAACCAGCAGTATCTTGAAGTGGAAGAGACCAGTGCGAGGTGGAGTCATCTGGGCAGGCTTCAGAAACAACAGCCCTTTCTCCTCTACTGAGGGGCAGAGAAGGGAGGCAGGTGTGGCTGGTGGAGGCACCAATGTGAGGAAGTGTGCGTGGAGGTGGGGATGGGGAAGACCTGTCCAGCGAGAGTCAGGGGGAGCTGCCTGGGTTTGAGCAGAGTTTAAGTGGAGAATTATGTGATAGATAAGGAGATAGGCTGGTCGCGGTGGCTCAAGCCTGCAATCTCAGCACTTTGGAAGGCCGAGGTGGGTGGATCACCTGAGGTCAGGAGTTCAAGTCCAGCCTAACCAACATTGTGAAACGACATTTCTACTAAAAAAAAAAAAAAAAAAAAATAGAAAATTAGCCAGGGGTGGTGGCGCATGCCTATAATCCCAGCTACTTGGGAGGCTGAGGTAGGAGAATCACTTCAACCCTGGAGGTGGAGGTTGCTGTGAGTGGAGATCGTGCCATTGCACACCAGCCTGGGCAACAAGAGTGAAACTCCATCTGAAAAAAAAAAAAATAGATAAGGAGATAATGTCAAGATAAGGAGTTTTCACTCATTCCTGTGAGCAGTGGGAGCCATTGATGGTTTGAAACTGTCAAAGGACTGATTTGCTCAAGTGATGTGAAGTGAAATCAAGCTGGGGGCAGCTGTGCAGGGTGGTGGGAGGTGATGTGAAAATGAAGAGAAGCAGAGGAGGAGACAGTTGTTGCAGCCACAGGTGTGGCTTAAGGAGCAAGAAAGCTTTGGACCACAAGTTTCTGTGCATATGCAAAGGATGATGTTGGCTCCTTTTTAAAAAAAGCTCTGTGTGGGGGTGCAGGGGTAAGGGTGAGGATAAGGTGAATTGAAACTTAAAAAAATTTTTTTCCATGGTACATAAAATGGGGGTTATATAAGCAGTTATTTTTAAAAAGTTGATTTTAAAATAGAAAATAAATTACCTAGAGCTATACATTTATTCTAAAGAAGATTTGAGGCATATGTTTTACACACACACATGACAATACATAAAGAGATCAAAGCAAAGAAAATCTTAGACACAAAAAAGCCAGGAATAAAGTTATTTCAGAGAAAAAAATGCATATAAGCAGGCCATGTTGCAAATTCCATTTTGAGCTTACTGTAGGCCACAATTAAGAGGGGGAAAGTCATTTACAAGATTCATTAGCATTGTAAAATTAATGAGATTGCCTAGGACGAATACAGCTTTTGTGGGATGCTAAGATTTGAGAGGAATTCATCCTGGAAGAGGAGACACTTCCTAAACCTTGGTCTAAATTAGATATTTCTTTTCAAAATATAGTCACTTTAATCTGCTCTTTATCTGTTTGCATGGTATTAAGATTGGTCCAAATGCGAGTTTGTGGAGAGGTTGAGTGACTGATTCCCCTCGGTGAAATTGCCACTGGCCCTGCTCTCAGCTGCCTCCTGGTTTGCTCATGGAGGCTCCACCCCCCTTTGCAGTTGTGGATATGATTTCTCTTTTTTTTCTTCTGTTTTTTGAGACCAAGTCTCACTCTGTTGCCCAGGCTGGAGTGCAGTGGCATGATCTCAGCTCACTGCAACCTCTACCTCCTGGGTTCAAGCGATTCTCATGCCTCAGCCTCCCGAGTAGCTAGGACTACAGGCGTGAGCCACCATGTCTGGCTAATTTTTTTGTATTTTTAGTAGAGATGGGGGTTTCACCCTGTTGGCCAGGCGGGTCTCGACCTCCTGACCTCAGGTCATCCACCTGCCTCAGCCTCCCAAAGTGCTGGGATTACAGGCGTGAGCCACCACGCCCAGCCTGATTTCTCTTTTGATGGATGATGTGATCTTCTGAGATCTTTCACTGAAAAGCTGTTCTTGCTTTCACCATCTCAGGAGGCCATCTGGTCACACTCCTTTGCGTACCATATTTTAATTCACCGCATGGCCATTCATCACTAATATTTCTCTTGTTTGTTTCCCCCAGTAAACTGTAAGCTCCATGAAAGCAGAGAACACATTTCTCTTTTGTGTGTGTGTGTGTTTTTTTTTTTTTTTTCAGACACAGCCTTGCTGTGTCGCCCAGGCTGGAGCTCAGTGGCGCAATCTCAGCTCACTGCAACCTCCGCTTCCCGGGTTCAAGTGATTCTCCTGCCTCAGCCTCCCGAGTAGCTGGGTTTGCAGGCGTGCACCACCACTCCTGCCTGGTTAGTTTTTGTATTTTTAGTGAAGACAGGGTTTCACCATGTTGGCCAGGCTGATCTTGATCTCCTGACCTCAGGTGATCCGCCCACCTCGGCCTCCCAAAGTGCTGGGATTGGCTGGGTTCGGTGGCTGACTCCTGTAATCCCAGCCCTTTGGGAGGCTGAGGTGGGTGGATCACCTGAGGTCAGGAGTTCAGGACCAACCTGGCCAAAATGGTGAAACCCAGTCTCCACTAAAAATACAAAAATTAGCCGAGCATGGTGGCACATGCCTGTAATCCCAGCTACTCAGGAGGCTGAGGCAGGAGAATCACCTGAACCCGGGAGGCGGAGGTTGCAGTGAGCCAAGATCACACCATTGGGCTCCAGCCTGGGCAACAAGAGTGAAACTTAGTCTCAAAAAATAAAAATAAATAAATAAATAAATAAAGTGCTGGGGTTACAGGCATGAGCCACTGCGCCTGGCAGAGAACACATTTCTCTTGTTCTCTACTGCATCTTTAGGGCACAGAACACTGCCCGGTCCTCAAAAACCATGTTGAATGAATGCATTCTGAGGCATCATCTTTTTCATTCGCTTCTTTGTAACTTCTTACTCACTCTGTATATTTCAGCCTCAGGTGGGTTCTGAGTAACAACACAGTTACTGTTAATGTGGCTTCCATTAATTGGGCACCACTATGTGCCAGGCAGAATTCTTTTTTTTTTTTTTTTTTTTTTTGAGACGGAGTCTCGCTCTGTCGCCCAGGCTGGAGTGCAGTGGCGTGATCTCTGCTTACCGCAACCTCTGCCTCCTGGGTTCATGCAATTCTCCTGCCTCAGCCTCCTGAGTAGCTGGGATTAACAGGTGTGTGCCACCATGCCCGGCTAATGTTTTTGTATTTTTAGTCGAGACGGGGTTTAACCATGTTGGTCAGGCTGATCTTGAACTCCTGACCTTGTGATCTGCCCGCCTTGGCCTCCCAAAGTGCTGGGATTACAGGCATGAGCCACTTTGCCCAGCCTGTGCCAGGCAGAATTCTAAGCACTTTTTTTATGGGGATAAATTTGTCTGTACTAAGCAGTTTTTATGTCTTATATAATCTTCCCCCAACTCCATGATGAAGGATTAGTATTCCTATTTTAGAAATGAGAAAACTGAGGCATTGAGAAGTTTAATAACTTCTCCATGGCCACCCAGTTATGTGAAAAGTCTGGGATTTGAACCTCAGCATTCCAGCTCCAGAGTGTGGACTCAGCCTCCTATCACACTGTCCCTAGAACATTCTGAATAGTCCAGAGAATACAGGTCTTTCCTCTGTGGAGCTCACTGTATTTCAGACTCATGTGTTATTAATAATTTGGGAAGGGCAAGAGAATGTAAGAGGCAGGGCTGAAGGTCCCAGGCCAGTCAACAGCGAGGCTGGGAGCTCTCACTTCTGGATCACTTCTCTCACTTCTCACTCTTGGCACCTTTCCCAGCTCCCTTAGCTTTGCTTTGTCAAAGAGAAAGAAAGGCCCCAGGAAGAGCTTTGGGGACCACAATGAGGATAGGTCCTGAGAGACAGGCCAGAGAGTAGGCTGAGGAGGGCGGAAGACAGTACAAGCACCGACAATGGCCTGGAAAGAAAGCATGGGCATGCCTTTCAGAGACAGGCAGACTGCAGAGTGGGGTGTCACCACCAAGGCTGGGCCACACACACACCTGGATGGGCAGTGTTCTTAGAGATTGGTTCCGTGGTCAGTCAGTGCTTGGCCTGGAGAAGAGCAGAAACCAGGAGCCTGGCATTGCAGGAGAGCTTCTGCTCTTCTGATGGTTTGGGTGTGAATTAAAACTCGTTCCCTGGCCAGGCGCGGTGGCTCACGCCTGCAATCCAAGCACTTTGGGAGGCTGAGGTGGGCGGATCACGAGGTCAAGAGATTGAGACCATCCTGGCCAACATGGTGAATGAAACCCCATCTCTACTAAAAATACAAAAATTGGCTGGGCATGGTGGCATGTGCCTGTAGTCCCAGCTACTCAGGAGGCTGAGGCAGGAGAATCGCTTGAATCTGGGAGGCAGAGGTTGCAGTGAGCCAAGATCGCACCACTGCATTCCAGCCTGGGCGACAGAGCGAGACTCCGTCAAACAAACAAACAAAACCAAAAAACACACAAACAAAAAATTCCTTCCCTACATCTTCAGGTCTAAGCAGCAATTGGTGCTTCTAAGAGGTGGACCTGGGACCGGGCTGTGTGGTGCAGGCCCAGTCCTGCGCAGATCCCTTATCCCTAGACAGCAAAGCTGTGCAGTCCATGGGTTAGGCTGGAATTGATGGACACGTGGTGGTCCAAGTCCCAGATGACCGTCTTCCAGCCAGAGGGCCCTGGACATTTGGTTCATCTTTCCCTGAGCTCATTCCTCCCCCTGGAGAAGTGGGATAATTAGTCTGCCCCACTCATGAGGATGTATGAGGGGGGTCAAATGAGATAATGTCTATGTACATGGACTTATATTGCAGGACACTGTACCTGTGAAAGGTGATATTATTACCATGCAAGTAATTCATTTTTTTTTTTTGGAGATGGAGTCTCCCTCTGTCACTCAGGCTGGAGTACAGTGGCATGATCTCACCTCACTGCAACTTCTGCCTCCCAGGTTCAAGCGATTCTCCTGCCCCAGCCTCCCAAGTAGCTGGGATTACAGGCAGCTGCCACCACTCCCAGCTAATTTTTTGTATTTTTAGTAGAGACGGGGTTTTGCCATGTAGGTTGGCCTTGAACGCCTGATCTCAGGTGATCCGCCTGCCAAAGTGTTGGGATTACAGGCATGAGCTACCGCACCTGACCCATGCAAGTAATTTTTATGGATGCTTCTGAAATATAGCCATACCCTTTCCAGAAAGTGACAATCCCTGCATACAAGGATGAGTGTGTCATATATAGGCTGTATTTGTTAATAAAAATCCTTAGAAGGGTCTGGTTAGTAAGAACGTAGAAACAGGGCTCCTGCAATACTGAGGAGCCTGCCTCGGTGCTGTCTGTCCACCCTGAGAGGGGACAACCATGAACTGATCACCGTGAACACTTCCTTGTCCTCTAGAGGGCTGCCCACAGGTTAGCAATCCATGACTGTGTCCCTCTCATCTCTGCACTGGAAAGATAAGAACATCTCTTAAGCCACAAAGAGGACAGAGGTGACATCTTTATCTAAATCCTTATGCAATTCTAAATTCGTATGCATGACTAAAATTTTGCAATGTTTATTCCATGCCATTCTATTCATTATCTCAATTCAGGAGAACTCTTTGGAGGTGGATGTCATCATTGTTTCTGTGGTTGGGAGAGAATGCTGAGATTCAGGAGTTCAATAACTTACCCAATGTCATGCAGCTGGTTCAAGTCTGTTCACTCCATTGCCTCCTAAGCAAGCATTCACAGAGCTTCATGTGACATTAAAACACCACTTTGTGCCTGATGGCAATTGCACGTGTCTTATGCCAAACAGCAAATTTCACTATTAAAGAACTCCAAATTGAATATTTTCATAGATTTTACATAGTTAACTTGTGGCCTTACATCTAGGACTTGGGTTATACGAGTCCCTCACTGGGGACCCATAGGGACTTTTAAGCTTGGTACTCTATAGTATGTCCTTTATCCTGACCGAGAGGTTTGTCTATAAATCTGAGAATTAGGATTCCTGGATTCAAACGCTAACTGTCTTATTACCGTGCAGAAGGACCCAGATAAACTCAAGCATTCAGAAGCCAGGAGTCTTGAATCTTAGCTTGGCAGAGCTCCCATCCCACCCTTGTCGTAGCTATTCATAAAGACTTCTTTCCATATCCCCACTTTCTTTTTAGCTGGAGAAAAAGAAATACTGTTTGTACATTGCATGAACAATAATCCCTAAATTACGAGAACATTTATAAAGACCTTGCCTGAAGATCTTGTAGAAAGGAACGACTTACAATGAAGGGATGCATTCCTAGCACCTTATAGCTGCTCACAGCGTGTGCAAGGAGGGATGCTTCTAGAGCAGAAGCATACAGGGTGGATGCTGGGAAAATCTGGAGCTCTGCAGCCTCCCTCCGGGTCTCCTCTACTGTATCTTAGAGTTTACTGTTGTCGTTTATTTCTTTACACAACAGATCTGTGAACCTCTTGAGGACACTATCTTAATCAGCTTTGTTTTTCTAGCATCTAACCGGGAACTTTGGTATGTAGTAGTAAGAGTCCAAATGTTTGCATCTGACTATAAAATAATGATACATATCATCCATTCATCTATACCTACATAGCAGCCGGTGTTTCCAGGGTATCAATGAGCATGGGCTAGGAATTTCTCTAAGGTCAGAGAGAGTCCTGTAGTGACAGCAATAACATTTTGTCATCTCAGCGTGTCTTTTCATGGATTTTTGTTCCAAATAAATAAAGAATATATTAGAATACAGCCATTTGATTTTTTCCTCCACACTTGGAAGCGTTAGTTGTAGACACAGCCCTCTGGCCTTCCTGCTGAAACGGTTAAGGCCGTTAGAAGGACTTCTCGTGTATTTCCTCCTTGGTTTGTGGCACTCAGGATAAATGTCACAGTCTTCTTTTGAAAGGAAGGTCATTTAATGGTATAATTACGGATAAGTCTCTATTTTGATTTCCATTCATATTACTTGTGCTTTTTTTTTTTTTTAACAAAACAAGAATGATGAAAAGGCCCTTTGAGGCAAAGGCAATAAATGTCTGTATCTCGTTGCCTGGAAGCAGCCAGCTGGAATGTTCCTGATAAACCACTAAGCAGCCTTGTGCACCTTCAGCTTGTGTGCAGTACAGGTCTTCAGGTCACATACAGACAAAGCAGAAGAGGGAAAAACAGCAGGGTCTTCCCATTGCTGTCATCCAGCTCCTAAAACTGCCTGATCCTACAGGCAGGCCTGGGCCCAGCAGCTGGCAAATACAGTAAGCACGTCTGACCATCCAAAAGCTTTTTTCCACAGGGCTGCTCAAAACGTTCTCCTCTCCCCCAGACAGCACTCTCAGAGAGCAGGCTGAGTGTTCTGGAGAGGTGTGGGTGGCACTGGGAGGCACCAGCACTGTCCTTCTATTTTATCAAGGACATTTCTGGACAAGGGGAAGAGTTGGCCATTAGAGCTGATTGCTGTGTAAATTTGGGCAAGATTCTTAACCTCTCTCAGCTTCAGTTTCACCATCCGTAAACTGGGAGAGCTGGAATGAATGGGCTGGAAGGGTTTTCCAGCTCTTCTGTCCTGCAGCTGAGGCACCCGGGGCTGGTGGTACAGCCAGAGTAGGAGTTTTCAGAAGATCCCAGAGGGAATGTAGGTGCTGCCATCTCAGGTTCTTTATGTAACCTGGCTATGTGTAAATTTCCTCATTGGTAAGACAGGGATAATTCTCCCTTTGTGAATTCAGTGTCTGTTGTAGAGGTCCTGTCTAATGGCATGACCCCCACTGGGGTAGGGGTAGGTAGGAGCCATGTCCCTTTCAAGTGCTGGTGCTACAATTCTTGCTTTGCATGCATTCTAGTTTCACAAAACTTCTGCATGCTGGGTATGCCTTTCCCTGCTTCCTCTGCCATTTTCAGATAAGTTAAATGCCTTATGCAAGTCACCCAGCTCGTTAAGTGGCATGGCTAACAAAAAAAAAAACAAAAAACAGATCTGTTTTATTCCAACGTTATTCTCTTATATCCCACATAGATTCTTATTGAAAACACCATTATCAGGCTGAGCACGGTGGCTCACGCCTGTAATCCCAACACTTTGGGAGGCTGAGGCGGGTGGATCACCTGAGGTCGGGAGTTCGAGACCAGCCTGACCAACATGGAGAAACCCCATCTCTACCAAAAATCCAAAAACTAGCTGGGCACGGTGGCACATGCCTGTAATCCCAGCTACTTGGGAGGCTGAGGCAGGAGAATCGCTTGAACCTGGGAGGCGGAGGTTGTAGTGAGCCGAGATTGCACCATTATTGCACTCCATCCTGAGCAACAAGAGCAAAACTCCGTCAAAAAAAAAAAAAAAGACCATTATCAATTGAGCTACAGTAAAATTAAAAACTTTTGTGCATCAAATGATGCTTTTCAACAGTGAAAAGGCAACCTACAGAATGGGAGAAAATATTTACAAATAATATCCTGGATAATAGGTTAACCTCCAGAATGTATAAAGAGCACCTATAACTCAACAAAAACAAGCAACTTTGGTTAAAAATGGGCAAAGGATTTGACTATACGTTTCTTCAAAAAAGATATGTAGCTGGCATGGTGACATGTGCCTGTAGTCCCAGCTACTCCAGATGCTGAGGCGGGATGATCACTGGAGCCCAGGAGTTCTGGGCTGTAGTTCACTATGCCAGTCTGGTGTCTGCATTAAGTTTGGCATCAATATGGTAACCTCCAGAGAGCAGGGGACCACCAGGTTACCTAAGGAGGAGTGAGCCAGCCCAGGTTGAAAACGGAACAGGCCAAAACTCTCATGCTGATTAGTAGTGAGATTGAGCCTTTGAATAGCCACTGCACTCTAGCCTGGGCAACATCGTGAGACCCCATCTCTTTTAAAAAAGAAGTGGCCAAGAAGCATATGAAAAGATGCTCAACATCACTCATCATTAGGGAAATAGGAATCAAAACCACAGTGAAATACTACTTCACACCCGTTAGGATGGCTATTATCAAAAAAAGCAGAAAATAAGCAAGTGTTGGCCAGGCACAGTGGCTCATGCCTGTAATCCCAGCACTTTGAGAGGCCGAGGCAGGCAGATCACCTGAGGTCAGGAGTTTGAGAACAGCCTGGCCAACATGATAAAACCTCGTCTCTTCTAAAAATATAAAAATTAGCCAGGCATGGTGGCGAGTGCCTGTAGTTCCAGCTACTCAGGAGGGTGAGGCACAATAATTGCTTGAACCCTGGAGGGGGAGCTTGCAGTGAGCCGAGATCACGCCACTGCACTCCAGCCTAGGAGACAGAGTGAGACTCTGTCTCCCCGCGCCCCCCCCCCCAAAAAAAAAAACAATAACCAAGTGTTGGTGAGGTTGTGGAGAAACTGGAACCATCATTGTGTACAGCTAGTGGGAAAAAATGGTGCAGCCACTATGGGAAAACAGTATGGTGACTCCTCAGAGAGGGAAAAATAGAATTACCATATGATCTAGCAATCCCACTAATAGACATAAACCCCAAAGAAATGAATGCAAAGACTTAAGACATCTGTACACCCATGTTCACAGCAGCATTATTCACAATGGCCTAACCATAGAAGCAGCCTAAGTGTCCATCGACAGACAAACGGATAAACAAAATGCAATATCTGTGTATGATAGAATATTATTCAGTGTTGATTTTTTTTTTTTTTTTGAGATGGAGTCTCGGTGTGTCTCCCAGGCTGGAGTGCAATGGCGCAATTTTGGCTCACTGCAGCCTCCGCCTCCTGGGACCAAGCCATTCTCTTGCCTCAGCCTCCCGAGTAGGTGGAATTACAAGCATGCTAATAAGAGATGGGGTTACACCATGTTGGTCAGGCTGGTCTCGATCTCCTGACCTCAGGTGATCCACCTGCCTGGGTTTCCCAAAGTGCTGGGATTACAGTCATGAACCACCACACCCGGCCAATATTCAGTCTTAAAAAAGAAGAAAATCTTGACACATAGTACAACGTGGATGAACCTTGAGGATATTATGGTAATGGAAATAAGCCAGTCACACAAGGACAAGTAGTATATGATTCCAGTAGTATGAGGAAGCTACAGTAGTCAAATTCGTAGAGACAGAAAGTAGAATAGAGGTTACCAGGGACTGCGGGGGGGGGGGGGGTGGAGATTGGGGAATTGTTGTTACTGGGTAGAGTTTCAGTTTTGCAAGGTGAAAAGAATTTTGGAGATAGATGATGGTGATGGTTGCACAACAGTGTGAATGGACTTCATGCCGCTGAACTGCATTTAAAAATGGCTAAAATGCCGGGCGTGGTGGCACATTGCTGTAATCCCAGCTACTCGGGAGGCCGAGGCAGGAGAATCGCTTGAACCCAGGAGGCAGAGGTTGTGGTGAGCCAAGATCGCGCCATTGCACTCCAACCTGGGCAACAAGAGCAAAACTCTGTCTCAAAAAAAAAAAAAAAAAAAAAAAAAAGACTAAAATGGGCCAGGTGCAGTGGCTTAGGCCTGTAATCTAATCCCAGCACTTTGGGAGGCTGAGATGGGCATATCACGAGGTCAGGAATTCGAGACCAGCCCGGCCAACATGGTGAAACCCCATCTCTACTAAAAATACAAAAATTAGCCAGGTGTGGTGGCGCGGCCTGTAGTCCCAGCTACTTGGGAGGCTGAGGCAGGAGAATCACTTGAACCTGGGAGGCGGAGGTTGCAGTGAGCTGAGATCACGCCATTGCACTCCAGCCTGGGTGACAGAGCGAGACTCCGTCTCAAAAAAAAAGAAAAGGCTAAAATGGCAAATTGAATATTATATATATTTTACCATAATTTTTTAAAAAAGTTTTCATACACATGTTATCAGAGTTGATCATACCCTCTGCCAATAGCATGAATCAGACCACATCGATGGCTTTGTGTTAGTCACCTTATTGATCAGGGGTGTCTGTAAAAGGAGACTTAGAAACTGGCATCTTCATATTCTTTGGATCTCTGGAAAACTCTTCCAACTCAAATTAAGAATATCATTAAAGTGCCATTTTTTTTTCAGGAAAGAAAGTTTGGATAAAATTAAGAGAATGTCTGCTACTGTGTTTTGTGAAAGTGGCTGGAGGGATGATTATCAAAATTGGAGTACCTGTTAGGGGTGGTCTGAGTTAATGGCAAATGGGCTTTTCACCTTGGAGAGGGGGTGATATAAAAAAACTAGCCACTGTCGGCCGGGCGCGGTGGCTCATGCCTGTAATCCCAGCACTTTGGGAGGCCGAGGTGGGTGGATCACGAGGTCAGGAGATCGAGACCATCATGGCTAACACAGCGAAACCCCGTCTCTACTAAAAATACAAAAAAATTAGCCGGGCATGGTGGCGGGTGCCTGTAGTCCCAGCTACTTGGGAGGCTGAGGCAGGAGAATGGTGTGAACCCGGGAGACAGAGCTTGCAGTGAGCCGAGATCGCCCCACTGCACTCCAGCCTGGGCGACACGACGAGACTCCGAATCAAAAAACAAACAAACAAACAACAACAACAACAAAAACCAAAAAACTAGCCACTGTCCTGAGTGACAAAACCGAGGTGCTGCGAGAGGCCCATATGACTGCCAATGGAGAGAACAGAGCCAGACATATTCCACAGAAGAGAATAAATGTGAATTTCAATGTTGGCTCCAACTCAGCCACAGGGGTTGGCACCTTGAATTGGAGGTTGATTTTTTTTTTTTTTTTGAAACAGTCTCACTTTGTCGCCCAGGCTGGAATGCAGTGGTGCAATCTTGGCTCACTGCAACCTCTGCCTCCTGGGTTCAAGTGATTCTCGTCCCTCAGCCTCCGGAGTAGCTCCGTGTGCCACCACGTCCAGCTAATTTCTGTTTTTTGGTAGAGACGGGGTTTCACCATGTTGGCCAGGCTGGTCTTGAACTCCTGAGCTCAAGTGATCCCCCTGCCTTAGCCTCCCAAAGTGCTGGGATTACAGGCGGGATGCACCGTGCCCAACCTGGAGTTTGATTTTTGATCGAGCTGCCTCTCACACGGGCAACGTAGATGGCCTACTCAGAAGTGAACACCAATAAGCTTTATTTACTTTTTTTTTTTCTGAGACGGAGTCTCCCTCTGTTGCCCAGGCTGGAGTGCTGTGGCGTGATCTCGGCTCACTGCAACCTCCACCTCCCAGGTTCAAGTGATTCTCCTGTGTCAGCCTCCTGAGCAGCTGGGATTACAGGCGTGCGCCACCACGCCCGGCTATTTCTTTTGTATTTTTAGTAGAGACGGGATTTCACCATGTTGGCCAGGCTAGTCTCAAACTCCTGACCTCAGGTGATCCACCCGCCTTGGCCTCCCAAAGTGCTGGGATTATAGGCGTGAGCCACCCTGCCTGGCCTACTTGTTAAAAAAAAAAAACAAAAAACTAATGCCACACCAGGGAGCCAGCCTGTGATTGTGGATGTACTGGCCCTGAAAGAAACCCACTAGAACACTAACAGTGGTTATTTCTAGGTGGAAGGATCATGGATGATTTAAATTTTCTTTTAATTTATTTTTACTTTATTTTATTTTTTTTAGTGCTCTTTGAGGAGCAGGGCCACCTTATAGGCAGTGTAAGCAATGGTTTTAATTTTCTTTTAAAACATTTTGTATTTTCTACACTTCGTGTAGTGAGTGCGTATTTTTAATTTTTAATTTTTTTCCCTATAACTTAATGCTCAGAAGTGAGCATGTATTTTTAATGGCAGAATGTAAATATAATTAAAAGTGTTCTTCATCACCAGAGGCCTTGTGGATAACTGTCTAGACTCTTCTAATTACGTTTCAGAAATGATTATGTAAGAATACATGCAAAAACAAATCTATGATAATAGAAATCAGATAGTTGGGCCAGTGGGTTGACTGGAAAGGGGGACTTTGTGAGGGGATTAGCAATGTCCTACCTCTTGTTTGGGTGATGGTTACACAAGTGTAAAAGCAGTTGTCAAAACTCAAGGTACTGAATGCTTAAATGTGTGCATCTTACTGCATGTTAATTATACTGCAGTAAAACAGTAGGAAACCCTGGAAGAGAAGAAAACATCCGTGCAAACAATCCCAGGGCTGTTTTGCAGTGCTGGCAGTGGGTATACTAGGAGACGGACGGTCAAGGGCCTGTGCCAGCCCGCACCAGGGCTCTTACCAGCAGCCTAGCACCAGTGAAAGGGCTCATTGAGAACTGCTGGTCAGGGCCGCAGGCTACTAGACAACTTACGTGCCGAGTAGCAAGCAGAGGAAGCTGACCCGGGAAGTCCATCCCATTGGCAGCTGGGAAGCTGATGGTGCCGGCAGGGCAGTGGGGGGAGGCCCATACGGCAGGGCCATCTGAGTGTAAGGCCTGCCTTTTGGGCACTGCCATTGGCGTTGCTGACTCTCAGGGGACCTTCAATGACAAAACAAAGCCTGACTCTCCTAGGCCTCCGGCACTGTCTCAGCACAATCACAGACATGGCTGAGCAGGGCTGGGTGTGAAGGATTGATTTTTCTTTTTCTTTTTTTTTTTTGAGACAAGTCTCGCTCTGTCGCCCAGGCTGGCGTGTAGTGGCGCGACCTCGGCTCACTGCAACCTCCGCCTCCCATGTTCAAGCGATTCTCCTGCCTCAGCCTCCCGAGTAGTTGGGATTATAGGTGCCCCCCAACCCGCCCCACCCACCACCCCTGGCTAATTTTTTTGTATTTTTAGTAGAGACGGGGTTTCACCATGTTGGCCAGGCTGGTTTTGAACTCCTGACCTCAAGTGATCTGCCTGCCTCAGCCTCCCGAAGTGCTGGGATTACAGGCGTGAGCCACTGTGCCTGGCCGAAGGATTGATTTTTCCATTTCCTCCTTGGGGCTTTTGTGACCTCACAGCCCACAGTAATGTCATTCTCCTAAGTACACAGAGGCTTTAATGACCTTATTATTCACCTGTTCCTTAATAATGTGCTGGCTTGTGACATCTCTGTATAAGGACCTATACTCTCTGGCTAGGAATGGTATATATTTTTTCTAATGGCACACTGAAATGGATTAATCTCAGTGTGTTCTTTGCAGGCCAGGGGTTAAGTGTGAAGACCCTGTAGTCGGACAGCCCTGGGTTTGAATCCAGCTACCCCATTTAGCAGTTAATGTGACTTTGGAAGTGTTACTTAACTGCCCTAAGCCTCATTTTCCTCATCTGTAAAATGGAGACGATAGACCCCACCTCAGTGTTGTTGGGAGGATTAAGTAAAAATGCATTCAAACCTCCTAACCGATTGTGAGAGCTTCATAGATGTTAGCTGAGGCTGATGTTAATTACAGAGCTTGTAATACATGTTTTACCATCAACCGATCCTTTTGATGACAGTGTGGCAGTAACAGGGTCACCCTCTCCAGGGGCCTGAGGGTCTGCATTGGAGGAAGGGTTCTCCACTCCTCATTTAGAGCTTTTCAGGAGCTGTCTCTTTCCAGCTGCGTTCTCACTCCATCTGCTCCTGGCTTCTTGAGATGGGCAGAATCTGCTTGAGGGACTTCCTACCTCGTGCAGGTGTTCCCAGAAGGCCCATGCGCGGTAGAGCTGCTGCATTAAGAGTGGGTCTTGGCTCTGATTGGCCTGCTGCTTACTTGGCATTTTTAGTAGGGCTCAACCTAGTACTTGTTTTGCATTTTTGCAGAATTCTGGTGCTTGCTTCTGATTCTGTTTTGCATTTCAAAAGTGTTGCTTCTGAAATTTCTCTTTGGCACCGTGACCACCCTGGCCCTGGCTCTACGTTTCGGAGGCTCTGGGCATGGCGCCTGTCTTGTGTTCTGGCACTGCGTGCATGCTGCAACAGTCTCTCTGATGATATATTTGGGCGTTCGAATGATTGATCTTGGATCTTTAGCTTTTCAGAATCTGCATCTTAAATCTGTGAGTTCGTCTGTATATTTAAAGCACTTACTCTTGATCTCAATCAGTTTGGCTCCATAAAAATAAAGCTTCCTCTGTTACTATATTTGATACTGTGTGTTCATTTAGAAAGCTGAAGGTGAGTAACCCTGCTTTTTATAGGCTGCCTGCTGACCACAATAGGAAACTGGGCATATTTTGGGAAAGGGGAAAGCATGAATGTGTTGTAAAGCCCAAATCCTGATTTCTAACACTATTGTTTTCATGTGATAGATTCTACTCGCTATGATGCAAGCTCTTTGAGAGTATGAGTTATTTATTGGAATGCTTCTTACCCCCAGAGTCCACATGTACTTAAAAAAATCGAATGCCTCGACGTGCCAAGTAGTAGGTATTCAGATGAATGAATTCCTACGAGGAGCCCAGATCACATTAAAGAAAGCTGAATACAGAAGCATTAACTTTTTTCCCTTTGCTTCCATTTATTGGGATTCCTGGAGCTTAAAAGGCTTACAAAGCACTTCCTTCCAAAAATGTAACCAATACATTACTTACACTGATAAATAACATTTTTAAAGTGAATACCAATCAAGTTATAAAATACCAACAATAAATTAACAGTAATTTTATCATCAAAGCTACCAAACACATTTTGGATTCTAAGGACACAACTGAAGCCAGGTGTCAGGACCACCTTGGCAGTTCACCCCTAGCCCAGGGTCACTGGTTCCCAAGGATCTGCACTGCTGGTGTTAGAAGCAGCCTGCATCCCTCAATTGTTCCCACCTGGCGGGGGGGGCGGGGCACACCAAGGCAGCACATCTGCCCCCATCTATTCAGAGACAAAGCAACAACAGCTTCTGTTGTTATTGTTGTTAAATAAATGATTCCTATAATATTTATTTATTTTGAGACAAGGTCTCGCTCTGTCACCCCAGTAGGAATTCAGTGGCACAGTCATAGCTCACTGCAGCCTCGAACTCCCTGGCTCAAGTGATCCTCCCTCTTCAGCCTCCCGAGCAGCTGGGACTACAGGTGCGCATCACCACACCCAGCTATTTTTTTTTTTTTTTTTTTTTTTTGGTTCAGATGAGTTCTCACTGCGTTGCCCAGGATGATCTCAAACTCCTGTGCTCAAGCGATCCTCCCACCTTGGCCTCCCAAAGTGCTGAGATTACAGGTGTCAGTCACCATGCTCAGCTGATTATATAATATTTTACAATGCTCTTGAGCCAGCAGTCATTGAAGCTGAGATTGCACCTTTCCCCCTTTCATAGTCATTATTCACTTCACACTATTTGAAATTCCAGTGTCACCTCCCCACTGACAACCTCTTGGGAAGGTCACCAGTGCAGGCCTGAGGGCTGGGCCCTGTGCCTTCACCTGCTTCTCAGTTCTCACTGCTTCTTCCTCTCTCAGCCATTTTTCTTCTGGAAATTCACCTCCCCTAAGCTGCCAGGACTCAGTGCCCCTGGGGTCCTTGTCTCCTTTTGTGATGATGGCCTCTGCTCTGGGCTGTTCCCAGCCCACCCGTGTCACACACTCACCCAGTGTGAATGGGCAGGTGCTGGGAGGCTCTTCCTGACACCCTCTGCTGTCTCCTGCCTCTGAATGTCTCCTTGGAAACCCCTCCCGCATGAAGGGAGGGAGAGCAGCAGATGTAGCCTGTGTTCCACCCACCTCATCTCTGGTCCTCTACTCTGATCACACATGTCACCACTTGGCTATGGGGCAGGTGGATGCTAGTCAGAAGCCTCTGCTTTCCTTCTGACTTCCTTTCATAACTCCTTAGCACTTCACTGCGGGCTGGAGACCAGATATCCCCCCACCTCCCCACGTCACACACTAGCCCAGTGTGACATCCCCAAGTTTGTCACACTTCCAGCTGGACACTTATAGTTCAGGGCCTTGTCTTGCTCTTCTTCCAGGATAGGGACATTCTTAGTGGCCTCCTGGGAGGGTCAGGGCTTGCTCCATCCATTTATCCACTGGAAGTAGATTCCTTACGCATTCTAAGAGCACAATAGAAGGTGATAGTGGCTGTTATTTAGTCATGATGACAGCTTTCCCCTCTTGGCCTAGCATTTGAGGGCCTTTCACCTTCGGTCCCCTCCCTGACACCTCCAGCTTTACCAGTGCTACTCCAGACAGTCTGGCCAGCTGATGTCTCTCAGAACATTCCCTTGTGCTTGGCACCCCCACACTTTTGCTGATGCTATTCCCCCTGCCTGGAATGCCTTCCTTTCTTGTCTTTGTCCACATGTTACTGATACTTCATCTCCATGGGGAGGCATCTAAACCAAAACAATGTCTTCACCCTCTGAAGGAAGTCCCAGCACGCTGGCTCTCTGACCTCAGTGACACTTGTGCTTCCTTTCATTATGGCTGCATGCTGTTACTCTAAGGGGACAGGGACTTGTGCATTCTATTTCTTTTCACCTTCTACTATGTCTAATGCACTTGATGCATTTTGTGTTGCATGCTGTGTGTGTGTGTGAATAAACAACATGACTTCTAGATCTTCAATCAGCTCCTTTGGTTCAAAATTCCAGCAAGAACAGAGCCGAACAAGTTTAGAAAACAGTTCCTGTGTGTACATGTGTGTGCGTGTGTGCTTTAACTCCAAGATTCCAAATCTTTAAAGACAACTTTTGCTCATCAGATTTTGTGAGGAGTTTTATCCTGAAGAGAAAATGGGAGAAACAATAAAAATTACATTTATTTTCAATTACATGAGTAATACTTCTGCAATGATGTCAGTGCTCTGTGTCTCCACTGTCCAGTGTGGTAGCCATTAGCCACATGTGGCTAGTGAACACATAAAATGTGGCTAGTTTGCTGGAGGAACTGAATTTTTAAATTTTATTTAATTTAAGTAGCCACAAGTGACTAGTGGCTACCATATTGGGTAGTGCAGTTTAAGTCGCTCCTCACCCTCTCCATCCCTAGGCACCCCCACCCAGCTCTACTCGGTGACCAGCGTTAACACTGTGCTGTGTATCTTTACAGATCTTTCTTTGTTCATGACAGCATATTTCACGCACATATTTACATACACACCCCATTGGTTTGGCCTGTGAGGGTGCACACAAATGGAATCATATCATAGGTGTTCTACAGCCTCCTTTTTAGTTTTTGTTTTTTTTTTTTTGTTTTTTGTTTTTGAGATAGAGTCTCACTCTGTTGCCCAGGCTGGAGTGCAGTGGCATGATCTCGGCTCACTGCAACCTCCGCCTCCTGGGTTCAAGCAATTCTCCTGCCTGAGCCTCCCAAGTAGCTGGGACTACAGGCGCCTGCCACCCCGCCTGGCTAATTTTTTTATTTTTAGTAGAGACGGGGTTCACCGTGTTAACCAGGGTGGTCTCGATCTCCTGACCTCGTGATCTGCCTGGCCACAGCCTCCTTTTGAATTAACAGTATGTTTGAGAGCTGTCTGGGGCGGTGCTCAGAGCTCTGCTTCATTCAATTCAGCTGCTGCCTAGTGTGCATTGCATGGCTGTTCCCTGCCTTATTTAGCCAGCCCTCTATTTTCTTTTTTAATGTTAAAACTTTTTTTTCTTTTGGAAAAAAAAATAGAGATGGGGATCTCGCCATATTGCTCAGGCTGGTCTCAAACTCCTGGGCTTAAGTGATCCACCCACCTTGGCCCCCAAAGTGCTGGGATTACAGGTGTGAGCCACCGCACCTGGCCTTTCCAGTCCCCTATGGATGAGCATTGTAGGCTGTTTCCAAACAAAGGCACCAGATCCATCTCTTACCTGCTTCCCTGTGCATACGAGCAGGTGCAGATACCCAGACATGGGCTTTCTGAGCCAAGGGGAGGAAAAGCATCCATGCTTCTCCTGTGGTGCTCTCACCCCTGGTTCTCCTGGACTGGGTGTGTAAGGTCAGGGCTGATGTGTGTATGAGCCATAAGTCTGAGATGCTGCTGGGGAGCCATTATTTATTTAGTTTTTTTGAGGAAGCCGACAGTCGTGTCCTACTCTGATCTCTGTTTCCACTCCCCACACTGAGGAGCTGAAACTTAGATTTTATCAAACAGACTGTGATGAGCCCTAAAAATACTGAGACATTAATAACAATTTGAAGCTGACAGACATAGACAGCAGGCATCTGCAAGCTGAGTCAATGCAGGCTTGAGGAAGATCGGGAAGGCTCCACGCCTCATTTTCTAAGTTAGATTTCTCAAGCCTCATTCATTATGCTCATCCTGGGGCACAAGCATAAGATAACTGGGTTTAAGGGCCTGTGTGTTTGCTAGCATTTGAATATTAGGTGTTGAGCAATGAATAAAACAAAGATTCACCGTATGATCTGTGCTGGAGTCACTTTTGTTTTTTTTATGTTTTTTTTTTTTTTGAGACAGATTCTCGCTCTGTCCCCCAGGCTGGAGTACAGTGGCGCGATCTCGGCTCACTGCAAGCTCCACCTCCCGGGTTCATGCCATTCTTCTGCCTTAGCCTCCAGAGTAGCTGGAACTACAGGTGCCTGTCACCACGCCCAGCTAATTTTTTGTGTTTTTAGTAGCGATGGGGTTTCACCGTGTTAGCCAGGATGGTCTCTATCTCCTGACCTTGTGGTCCGCCCACCTTGGCCTCCCAAAGTGCTGGGATTACAGGCGTGAGCCACCGCGCCCGGCATCTTTTTTTTTTTTTTTTTTTCTGAGACAGAGTCTCACTCTGTCACCCAGGCTGGAATGCAGTGGCGCGATCTTGGCTCACTGCAACCTCCGCCTCCCGGATTCAAGTGATTCTCCTGCCTCAGCCTCACCACCACACCCAGCTAATTTTTGTATTTTTAGTAGAGATGGGGTTTCACCATGTTGGCCAGGCTGGTCTTGAACTCCTGACCTCAGGTGATCCGCCCACCTCGGCCTCCCAAAGTGTTGGGATTACAGGCATGAGCCATTGCGCCTGGCCTGTACTGGAGTCACTTTCTAAGTAAGCAAAGGAGGCCAGGCCTTGGGCACAGCAGCGAAGCCAGGGTCAATTAAAGCGAGATGAGAAGCCATCGCTTGTCTCTGGTGGCCACGATGTATCTTGTCTGATGCTTTTTTCCCCTCTTCCTGATTTCAAACCATGCTAAAATAAAGATTATTAAAGATTCCATACTAATGTAGGCTAGGCGACCCCCAAAGTGAGGCTTAGTCTGTGACGGTTCTTGGCTTTGCCCAGGAAAGAATTCAAGGGCAAGCTAGTGATAGAGTAGAAGAAAACAGCCTTATTGAAGTGGCAGCATTACAGCTCCAGCGGTGTTCCAGCTCCATGACTGCTCCTGCAGGGCAGGGCTACCATGTAGACAATCTGTCTGAGAGTAGCAGCTCAGGGCAGTTTTGCAGTCGTGTTTATACCACTTTTAATTATATGCAGATTAAGGGGCAGTATGTGCAGAAATCTCTAGGGAAGGGGTAGTAACTTTTTGTTTTTGAGACGGAGTCTTGCTCTGTTGCCCAGGCTGGAGTGCAATGGCACGATCTTGGCTCACTGCAACCTCTGCCTCCCGGGTTCAGGACATTCTCCTGCCTCAGCCTCCCAAGTAGCTGGGACTACAGGCATGCGCCACCACGCCTGGCTAATTTTTTTGTATTTTCAGTAGAGACGGGGTTTCACCGTGTTAGCCAGGATGGTCTCAATCTCCTGACCTCGTGATCTGCCTGCCTCGGCCTCCCAAAGTGCTGGGATTACAGGCCTGAGCCCCCACACCCAGCCAGGGTTGTAACTTTTGATTCATCAGGTCATTGATTATTCATCAGGTCCTTGCTGTCGAAAGGACAGTAACTCCTGGCTATTGCCATGGCAATGGTAAACTGACATGGCACACTGGTGGGTGTGGCTTATGAAAAGCTGCTTCTGCCTTGTTTTAGCTAGTCCTCAATTTGGTCCAGTGTTCAAGCCCCACCCCCAGAGTCGAGTCCCACCTCCTACCTCATTACACAATATTTTCCCTGTGATTACCGGGGGCTTCTGATGATTTTATTTATTTATTTACTTTGAGACAGAGTCTTGCTCTTTCTCCCAGGCTGGACTGCAGTGGCGCAATCTTGGCTCACTGCAACCTCCGCCTCCCGGGTTCAAGCAATTCTCCCACCTCAATCTCCTGAGTAGCTGGGATTACAGGTGCATGCCACCACGCCCGGCTAATATTTACATTTTTAGTAGAGATGGGGGTTTCACCATGTTGGCCAGGCTGGTCTCGAACTCCTGGTCTCAAGTGATCCACCTGCCTCAGCCTCCCAAAGTGCTAGGATTACAGGCGTGAGCCACCGCATCCTACTGGCTTCTGATGATTTTAAAATTCAAATCTGGAGGAGCTAGTGATGGCTGATAAGAAAATGAAGGAGGAAAGCAGTGAACAGCAGGTGACATCCTTTCTATTTGAAACGTCCCTCCAGCAGCCAGGAGTGGGAGATATTTGGCAGGAATGGGCCACTGTCAATGAAGAGCTGAGGAAGGGAGAGAGGCGGGGTGGCAGTGGGAAGAGATGGAGGGCGCAGAGGCTCAGAGGGACAGACTCTACTAAACTGCTCATCTGACAAACTGTGAAGGCACACAACATTGGGAGGGTGAAGATATCCATTCGGATTAATGCAGAGATCCGCACGTTAATGGAAATGAAAACAAAGGAGAAAATTCATTGTTGCTTAATACACCACAGGTCAGGCTCAAGCTCTTTTCTTTTCTTTTCTTTTTTGAGACGGAGTCTCGCTCTGTCGCCCAGACTGGAGTGCACTGGTGCGATCTGGGCTCACTGCAAGCTCCGCCTCCCGGGTTCATGCCATTCTCCTGCCTCAGCCTCCCAAGTAGCTGGGACTACAGGCACCCGTCACCATGCCCAGCTAATTTTTTGTATTTTTAGTAGAGACGGGGTTTCACTGTGTTAGCCAGGATGGTCTTGATCTCCTGACCTCGTGATCCGCCTGCCTTGGCCTCCCAAAGTGCTGGGATTACAGGCATGAGCCACCGTGCCCGGCCTTTTTTTTTTTTTTTTTCTGAGACAGAGTCTCGCTCTGTTGCCCAGGCTGGAGTGCAGTGGTGCGATCTTGGCTCACTGCAATGTCTGCCTCCTGGGTTCAAGCGATTCTCCTGCCTCGGCCTCCTGAGTAGCTGGGATTACAGGTTCACGCCACCACACCTGGCTATTTTTTGTATTTTTAGTAGAGATGAGGTTTCACTATGTTGGCCAGGCCGGTCTTGAACTCCTGACCTCGCGATCCACCCGCCTCGGCCTCCCAAAGTGCTGGGATTACAGGTGTGAGCCACTGCACCCAGCCAGCCAAGCTCTTTTCTTTTCTGCACATCCCCTGTCCTAATGTAATCGTAACTTTCATAGTTTTGGTCCTACTTTGGATGCAGTTGGGTATATACCTTTCTCATTAAATGGTCTAGCCTAGGAATTTTTCCATGTGGTTGTCTAAATTATGTCTTGTTTGTCGCCGAAATTATTTTGTTGTCTTCCAAATTGTGTCATGGAGGTTTGCACTTAATCGATACCTTTCAGCCAGCTGGCTAAGCTCCACTCAGAGTTCCTTTGTTTACAAACATCCTGGTGAAGTGTGTCCTGTGCCTGTGATTAGCAGGTGTGAGAGAAATAGATGCTGGTTCTGGAAGGCTCCTGCCTGTGGCTTTCTCCCCTGAGTTTTCATCAGCTTTTCAATGTATCTGTTTTACTGGGCAGTCTTCAGACTCTGGCCCCAGTTCCTCTTGTTTCTTACGGCTGGTCTCAAATCTCGCACATCACCCTGGTGGTGTGGTTTTATTGGTGCCAGCCTTCCTTAGTGGTGGAATGAGTTTCTAATCCAGTTTGCATTGCCAGTGTGGCTATGAAGCTCCGGGAGTGGGGTCCCCGCTTTCGTCACCAGTTCCAGGCTCTCAGCTTCTCCCTCTGCGTGTTGGCAGTTGTGGACGTGGGTGGCTGTTACTCAGTGCTTGGGCCATCTGGCCCTTCCTTTCTGTTCTCTTTCCCCACCACCCTGGCTCCAGCCCTTATTTCTTTTCTTATCTTTATCTTTTTGAGACAAGATTTTGCTCTGTCACCCAGGCTGGAGTGCAGTGGTGTGATCTCGGCTCACTGCAACCTCTGCCTCCCAGGTTCAAGTGATCCTCCAACCTCAGCCTCCTGAATAGCTGGAATTACAGGTGCATGCTACCACACTGGGCTAATTTTTGCATTTTTTGGTAGAGACAGAATTTCACTATGTTGCCTGCGCTGGTCTTGAACTCCTGGGCCCAAGCGATCCTCCCACCTCAGCCTCCCAAAGTGCTAGGATTACAGGCGTGAGCCACTGCACCCAGCATCCTTATTTTCTTATGCCTTGACTTCTGCTTCTTCTCTAGATGGTCTCCCTTCTTCTTAGCTCTCTAAACTCAAATTCAACCATAGCCAGACCCATGGCTACCCTTCCTAATAAACCATTCTTATCCTCCAGTACCTCCTCTTCAGAAAGCCCTCAAACAGCTGCAGAATGCCACGGAGCTCCTCCCTGGGCAGTCAGAGCTTCTTGCAGCCTTGGGGCCCACAGGACTGCTGCTTGGAATCTCCCCTCCAGCTACTCTCAGGCCTTTTCTGCTCCTGAGGAGACCATTGAAATTCTTGAGTCTTAAAAATATGCATACCTTTTGACTCTATTTCTGGAAATCCAGCCTAATGAAATAATCCAGAAAATGGAAAAAGCTGTAATGTCTGCACACTCTTTCCAGCATTGTTTTAAATAGCATGAAAGTGTAAACAAGATATATGTCAAACAATATGGAAAAGATTTGATGCATTATTGTGGATCTTCTTACTGGAATTTGAAGCATACATTCACAACGATAGTTATGATGACAATTCAACACCCAGATAAACACTTAAGAAATAGAATGAAGAGGACCAGGGAGCTGCCAGTTATGGAGTGTTGTCCCAGCACACACTCGGTGTTTTGCTCACCTCCCACAGACAAAGAAACCCACAGAGGGCGTGGCACACCTGCCTGAGGTCACATAGCTCATGGTCCCAGTTTTGCTGTATTCCAAGGCGTGCTCTCTCTATGCTATAAAATACAAAACTGTGTATATTATTTAAGCTATTTAATACTTTTTTTTTTTTTTTTAGACAGAGTGTTGCTCTATTACCCAGTCTGGAGTACAGTGGTGCGATCTCAGCTCACTGCAACCTCCACCTCCCAGGCTCAAGTGATCCTCCCACCTCAGCCTCCCAAATAGCTGGGACTACAGGTGTGTGCCACCATGCCTGGCTAATTTTTGTATTTTTTGTAGAGAGGAGTTTCGCCATGTTTCCCAGGCTGGTCTTGAACTCCTGAGCTCAAGTAATCCACCTGCCTCGGTCTCCCAAAGTGTTGGCATGAGCCACTGCGCCCAGCCCACTATGTAATGATTCTCCGGAATGCCTGCTGTACACTGAGATCTGGGTGCCAGGTGCCTGCAAGGAGCTCCCAGGCAAGCTTAGGTTCTGAAACCACATGCATGTGTGCCCCTTTGCTCAACAGTTTCTCTTGCCAGGACCCCCTTTTTCTCCTGTTCTCCTGGTAGGCCCACCTCCTTCCAGGCTCTGCCTCAATTCTTCCTCCCCTGTGAAGCCCTCCTTGACCAACCAGCCTGAGGAGCACACACCCTCCTTTGAGCTTTTGCAACACATAAAACTTTCCATGAGAAACATCAGTATACCCAAGCCGCTTATATTTTATTGATTGTGCCTTTTCTCTCCAACTAGACTGTAAGAGCCTCCAAACCAGCCCTGTGTCTTGGCAATGTCTCATATAGCCAGGTAGCTCTTGGCACAGTGGGGGGGACTCATAATGGATACTCAATATATGAGTCAGCAAATCTTATTCTCCCTCCATTTGTGACCAACCTGGTGTGGGGCTGGTTGGTCGCTCTAAGGAGTGGAGGGAGAGGCTCTGGCATGATGCTGGGATGCTCTTGTGCCTCCATGGCCCATCAGACTCCTGAACCAGAATCCTCCACCAGTTACCACCGTTGCTCAAAGGAAGCATCTTTGGCTGAGCACAGTGGCTCACGCCTGTAATCTCAACACTTTGGGAGGCCGAGGCGGATGGATCACTTGAGGTCAGGAGTTCAAGACCACCCTGGCCAATATGGCAAAATCCCGTCTCTACTAAAATACAAAAATTAGCCAGGCGTGGTGGTGTGTGCCTGTAATCCCAGCTACTCAGGAGGCTGAGGCAGGAGAATCGCTTGAACCCGGGAGGCAGAGGTTGCAGTGAGCCAAGTTTGCGCCACTGCACTCCAGTCTGAGTGACAGAGCGAGACTCCATCTCAAAAAAAAAGAAAAAAAGAAAAGAAAGAAGCATCTTTGCCTTCACTATCTGCCAACTTTTTTTTTTTTTTGAGACAAGAGTTTTGCTGTGTCACCCAGGCTGGAGTACCGTGGCGTGATCTCGGCTCACTGCAACCTCCGTCTCCCAGGTTCAAGTGATTCTCCTGCCTCAGCCTCCTGAGTAGCTGGGACTACAGGTGCATGCACCACATTAGGCTAATTTTTGTATTTTTAGTAGAGATGGGGTTTTACCATGTTCGCCAGACTGGTCTTGAACTCCTGACCTCAAGTGATCCTCCTGTCTCCACCTCCTAAAGTGCTGGGATTATAGGCATAAGCCACCATGCCTGGCCTATCTGCCAACTTTTTAAAAAACTTTTTATTTTGAAATATGGATTCATGGGCAGTTGCAAAGAAATGCGCAGAGAGGTCCTTTGTACCCTTCACCCAGCCTCCCCTAGTGTGAACATCCTGCGTAACTATAGTTCAGTATCCACACCAGGAACTTGGGGGGTGCCATCCACAGAGTCTGTTCAGATTTCGTCAGTTACACCTGATTTTCAAGAATAATCCATCCTGGAAATTGTCCTTTCCTACTTGAGCACATTTTCTTCATATCCCCACCTGGCATATTTATTCTCAGTTCAAATCTCCTGCAGCTCTGAAGTCAGAGGGCCTCCCTGGCTCTGTTCCTGACTCTGTTCCTCACTTCCTGTGTGATCGTAGGCAAATTAACTAACCTCTGTGAGCCCTGGTTTTCTCTTCTGAAGATTAACAATACTAACCTCATGGGATTTTATTTTTTTAACAAAGTGCTCAAGTTAGGCAGTTAAAATAATAGGCACTCAGGACATGTCTATTTTCTTTTCACCCTTTCTGACATGGAAAACCCTCTTTCTCACTAAACAATGGAATCCTTCTCATTTAAATAATGTTCAAAGTTAGTCTCCTCTGACCCCTTCCCATCCCATCTCTAGTTTCCTCAGCAACCTTGCTCTGTGTGTGTTTAACAGTTAATTCTTATGATCCTGATTATATGTTCCATGTTCCTGGTGAATATATTTTCAATTCTATTTTTTACCTACCAACAATATAAGGTATTTGCAGGCAGAGACCTCAGTTCTTTATTTTTACAAGTCAACATATTAGATAAGAGCCTAGGTTTAGTGCCATCTGTAAAACAAGGATAACTGTATCAACCTCATAGGGTTTTTGTAAAGATTAAATGAAAGAATGCATAATGCCTGGAACAGACAAGCTCAAAACACTTTAGCTGTTGTTGACGGTCATGATGATGCCCTTTCACTTGTGTTTCCTCATGGAGCCTTGTCCTCGGGTAGGGTCTCACTCTGTCACTCAGGCTGGAGTATGGTGGTATGCAGTGCAAGGTATGATCACTGCTCACTGTAGCCTTGACCTCCCAGTCTCAAGCGATCCTCCCACCTCAGCCTCCCAAGTAGCTGGGACTACAGGCATGCGCCACCATGCCTGGCTGATTTTATTTTTATGTTTAGAGATGAGGTCTCACTTTGTTGCCCTGGCTGGTCTCAAACTCCTGGGCTCAAGTGATCCTCCCACCTCGACCTCCCAAAGTGTTGAGATTACAGGTGTGAGCCACCATGCTTGGCCTTGGATTTAGATGTCTTAATAGCGATTGGTACTTCACATCCAAGAATAAAATAAAGATAAAGGACATTAAGGGCTATCGTTGCTCCAACATTCCATTTTATTCTACCCTGCCTTTTTTCTCCTAAGTTGGGAAAAAGATTTTAATAATAATTATCATAGTAATACTGATGATGATGATGATGAAAGCTAACAATTACTGAGTTCTTACTGTGTGCTAGGAATAGTTGTAAGAACTTCACTCTGTTAACTTATCTAGTCTTCACCACAACCCTATTAAGTAGATTCCCTTCCTTCCATTTTGCGGATAAGTAGACCAAGGCACACAAGATTGTACAGCTTTGCCAAAGCTGAAGCTGGGTTTGAAACCAGGCTTTCTATTTCCCCAAAATGGTTGGGATAAAATTTTCCTGCTGTTAGTGGTCCCGAGAGACAGAGAATGGAAAAACATTCTGTTCATTTTCATCTATTCTTTGCTTGAAGAGCATATCAAAGCCCAAAGAAGCCTGTAGTTCATGAAGAATTGAAGCCCTGACATTAAATCAATCAGACACGTTTCTCTCCTTTTAAATCCCCATCCTCAATTAAGGTGGCAATCAGATTAACCAAGATTGGCCGGAAACGGGTGAGTGTCTCGGAAGCTCTAGAGCTCCAAAAGGTCAGGCCACTGACAGCTACTGATTTGTGTGTTACTTCAGGCAAGTCTCACCCACACTATCTCCCCAGGGAGAATTCAGCTGCTGTTTAATTCTACTCCCGGTAAGATCTGTTTGGAAACTCAAATCCTGCCTCCTTCCCCAAATTCATTTTCATCAGCATTTCCTCTTGATCTCTTCAATCCTGAATCTTTCCCAGATGAGATACATGTCCCGGCCCCTGCAGATGTACCCCTCTCCTGCAGCCACATGGTACTGTTTGATTTCCTTAGCACCAATAAAACAAAACCAGGCTCTGCCTGAATGATTCCTGGCTTTAATTACCAAAGGCAAATTGCTGCGTCACTCAGAATAATGAAAAACTGGAAACAACAGAGAATGATTAAATAAATCAGGATCCAGTCAAAAGATGAAATAATAAGTAGCCATTAAAATGAAGTTTTAAAACTTTTTTTTTTTGAGATGGAGTCTTGCTGTTGTCGCCTATGCTGGAGTGCGATGGCACGATCTCAGCTCATTGCAACCTCTGTCTCCTAGGTTGAAGCAATTCTCCTGCCTCAGCCTCCTGAGTAGCTGGGATTATAGGCACCCGCCACCACACCTGGCTAATTTTTTGTGTATTTTTAGTAGAGATGGGGTTTCACCATGTTGGCCAGGCTAGTCTTGAACTCCTGACCTCCTGATCCGCCTGCCTTGGCCTCCCAAAGTGTTGGGATTACAGGCGTGAGCCACCATGCCTGGCCGAAAGGCCTTCAGTAAGAAAGTAAGTGCTCACAATATAAGAAGAAATTCAGTTTTAACACTATCCTGTAGGATCCCAATTTTATACATATATATTTTAAAATATACATAAACATGGACACAAAAACTAGAACAAATACACTGAAATTCTAATAGTTATCTTTGAATTACGTGATTCTAAGTGATGTTCATTTTCTTTTTTCCCCCGTTTTATAAATTTATACCCATGAGCATCTATTCCTTTTAAATTCAGAAGCAAGGAAAAGGGGAAAAGAAAAGAGGGAACCTTTTTGTTTTTCTTAAAATTGTCCCCATTGGAGGGTTGTTGATTTTTTGTTTCATGGATTCACCAGTACTTACCAGCTGTCTCCACCCCTAGTGAGGCAGCTCACATCTCACCTCTTCCAGGAAGCCTTCCTAGATTCATTAAACTCAGAGATTTCTTCAGTTTTATGGACTCCTTAGTCTCATTGTGACATATCCTTGACCTTAAATGTGTGCAGGTTTTGTGTCCCCAACTACAGAGTAAGTTCCTTGATGGCAGAACCTGTCTATTTTAAACTTCTTTCTCTTCCCCACGCCACCCAGCAAGTGCCCTGCGAACTGCTGGAGTTCATTAATGTCAGTGAACACAAGTGCCTCGTGGGAGGCACTTGAATCAGATGCACCTCTCTCTCTGAACTTTGTTCCATTTCCTCCAATTCATTTGAAGCGGGTGTCCATGCCATTAGCCCTGGGTCAGATTTTATTGTAAATTGTTTAAAAAGAATTCCATTTGCTTTAGTAGGAATGATCAAGTCCAGCCCTTGTCTTTACAAGAAGATTGCAAAGCTGAGAAAATAAATACAAACTATTTTGAGCAAAAAGGCATTTTTCTTGGTGAATGCGGAGGAGGGAGTTGATGTTTATAAGAAGGAAAGGAGAGGCCAGGAGGGGAGGTGACTTCCCTGAGTCTCACGCTGTTCAAAGGCAGGTGAAGTCACACATCACGCCAGCTTCCCTCCAGCCCTGCTGGGCTCAGGATACTGTATTGAGGTCAGAAGAAAATGAGACCTAGGAATTTACAGTTTATCTTGGGAGAAGAAAAGATGAGTCACTGAAATAACTTCGCCTGAACAAGCAGTGGGAGAAGATTATATAAGGTAATACAGTGTGAAGGATGCACAGAAGTCGAGCTGGCAGAGAGTACGCTGTGCCTGTGGTCGGAGAGTGTTGTTCATGGAAGGCTTCCAGGGAGCTCAGCAGGTGTCAGGATCCGCCAGGTGTCAGGTCTGTGGCGCTGACTCTCCTGCCCCTTCAACATCTCCAGCTTGTGGCCGGTCCCTGTCACCAAAACATCCTTTCATTCACTGCCACGAGACTGCGTGGCTCCCCTAATCTGCTCTGCTTCCGACCTCCCAACCCTTCTCACTGTGGACTCTGGCTGCTAGACACAGAGTGTTCCAGGAGGCAGAGCATGAGTGAGAGGACCCCCTACAGTGGAGGAAGGACTTGAAGATGAAGCAACTGTCCCCACCTCTACTGGGGCATCCCTTGTTAAATCCTAAGTTGAATGGTTGACATTTAATGCAGCACAGGTCATGCTACCTGCTTGACCATGAAGCAAACTAAATTAAATATTTGCCTTAGAGCTACATAAAGAATGAATTGAAGTGAAGAGACTGGCCAGGTCCCCGGGACTGGGTGGCAGGTGTTCAGGAGGCTTCCAGCAAGGTGGCTGTGGCGAAGGAGAGCACAAGATGAACTTGGGAAATTGTTAGAGATATATTTTTTGGAAAGTGATGGAAGAATTAGGGGAGTTTCATGGCAGAGAAGAACATGCTATGTGACCTTGGGCAGGGCACTTAACCTCTCTGATCCTGCCTCTTTATCTGTAAAATGAGAATAATAGTATCTACTTTATGGGGTTGTTACGAGACTTATATGAAATATTTGTAAAGTGCTTGTCCTAGTGCTTAGTGCAGAGCTGGTGGTAAACCCTGGAATTTTTTTTAATTTATTTTATTTGTAGGACTCTTATCAATGAAGAACTTTGTATCCAACAATAATAAACAGACATATTGCAAGTTACATTTTGTAGGAGAAGCAAATAAGACTGGTTGCAACAAAAGAAATTAGTTACCTGCATTATAGGTTCTTTATACAAACAGTGTTCTATAAATAGAATTAAATGCAAACCAAATGTTTTTAAAAGTTTGTATACCTACATGGCAATTACAACCTCCACACACCAAAAAGAACAATAACACAGAACACAGTATCCTTAATGATTATAGCACATTTAACACCTTCAGCCATCCTCTGGGTTTTCAGATCATATTGGCAACTGAAATTTCACATCCACATGTGCTTGCTTGGCTAAGTCCGCTGTTTCAGAGAGCCTTCTGAACGTTCTAGCAGTTTCCTCCAAGTCGTCACAAGCAAGAATTTTAAGCCCACTGTCTGCTCTCGGTGCCTTAGCATCATCAACTCGTGTACCTTGTAACCCCCACAACAGGTATTTCAATTTCCACATCTTTTACTGCCGTGACTATACCCTGTGCAATAACATCACAGTGCATGATTCTTCAAAAAATGTTGATCAGAATAGCCAGTACCTTTTTATCTGAAGTGATAAGCTTAAATGCTTCTGTTACTTGATGGACTGTAGCACCACCACCAACATCAAGGAAGCTGGCTGGAGTCCCTCCCCAAAGCTTTTTTTTTTTTTTTTTTTTTTTTTTTTGAGATGGAGTTTTGCTCTTGTCGTCCAGGCTGGAGTGCAGTGGCACCATCTCGGCTCACTGCAACCTCCGCCTCCCATGTTCGAGCGATTCTGCTGCCTCAGCCTCCTGAGTAGCTGGGATTACAGGTGTCCGCCATCACACCTGGCTAATTTTTGTATTTTTATTAGAGACGGGGTTTCACCGTGTTGGCCAGACTGTTCTTGACCTCCTGACCTCAGGTATCTGCCCGCCTCGGCCTCCCAAAGTGTTGGGATTACAGGCATGAGCCACCACTCCTGGCCCCTGAAGTTTTATTATATCTATTGAGGCCATGGCCAAACCAGCACCATTTACTAGACAGTCTGTATTTCCTTTCAGGCCAATGTAGTTGAGATCTGCCTTAGCAGCGTCTTTGTCATTTTCATCTTCTTGGGTTCAGTCCTGTAGATCAAAGATTTTCTTTTGGCGTTAGGCTGAATTAGAGTCAAAATTGATCTTTGCATCCATCACAGCACAGCTCCATCTGAATCTTCACCATTGGATTTATTTCTTATCATGGTTGCATCATATTTCAGAAAAAGGCTGTAAAGCTTGACCATGTTTTCTGCTGCGGAATCCACAATATTAGGTGGAAATCCCATCTTCTGTTCAAGCCGGAGAGCTTGTTCCTTTTTGATGCCTTCTACAATATCAACAGGTTCTTTAATTGCATCAGGAGTCTCAGCAGCAACATCTGCAATGTTGACACCACCATGTGAACTTCCTATTAATATAGGACCTTGAAATGACCTCTCCATCCCTATTGCAAAGTAGTCTTCTCCCCTAGGGTATTTTCGCTTCAGTGCTTGATTGCATATTCCACCCTTTTCTCCCATTTGCTTGGTAAACAACTTTTTCCCAATCATTTCTGAGGAAACAGCTTTTGCTTCTTCTGGAGAGAAAACTATCTTCACTCCTCCTTTGAGGCCACTTTCAAATGTTCCTTTTCCTCGACCATCAGCTGAAACCTGCGCCTTCATCTCAACTTCTTTTGAACCTGCTTCTTACTACTTGTGAGTCCCAGAGAACTTGCCAGCAGTACTCATAGTTACAGTTTATCCTGCACATGTTATTTCTTTCTTCTGTACCTACTTTTTTGGCAATTGCATAAGCTTCATCTGGTGATTTTGCCACATATCCTTTGGAAACGGAGACACCAGCTTCTTGCAATAATTCCATACTCATGTATTCATGTAGTGAGAGATTCCTGTGCTATTGCTGCTGTACTTGGAGTCCATGGTTATTCAACAATCCATAACTTCCTAGAGCCTGAGCAGTGGCCCGCAGGGCTGTCCAGAGAAGGTGGCCCCGAAGGGTAGCTGCGGCCAACAGCTGGCTGTAGAACATGGAGGCTGCCATTTCCGAGTGAGACCCATTCCCTTGGTACCGCCTGCAGCCGCACAGGCCCCTGGAATTTTTTTAGATTTTAAAATCAGTGTGAGAGAGACTGGAGTGGCAATGAAGGAGAGGAAATAATTCAAAGGAAATAATGTATCTCAGTGGGCCTGGCAGGTGATGCTGGGTTACTAGTAGGGAGTTTGGGGGAGGGGACCTAGATTTTGAAAAGCATGATGTAGTTAGTGTTTGAGACTTTGTTTGTTTCAAACCACCAATCGCCCTGAGTAGAGGGCAGCTCTGATCAAGGGGACAGCTCAGTCAGGCAAACAGGATCCAGCAAGCAGGCCAAAGGAGAAACAGGGCTGCGACGCCTAGGGGTCACAGGGACGCAGATGCTGCTGGTGGCCCAGGTGAGGGGTCCTGCGTCCTCTGTCGCAAGGCTGCCAGCAGCTGCAGGATCTGCTCTCACATGTTGGACAGGCAAGGACCTTGTGGCACTTCTCACCCTGGCTGTGTGCTGGAATTGTGGTGGAGCATTTTAAACACCTCTGGGCCCTCTTCACAGCACAGGGGTCATTCTGATGAGCAGCCAGGATTGCGGCCACAGGCCAAGCCAGGAGCCAGCTAAGGGGGTTGGGGGAGTGAGGACAAGGCAGGCTAGAGGCCTTGGGCAGACAGGAGGAACTCTGACCCAGGCTCCCTGATGCCCAGTATGTCTGCCTGGAGAGAGACTGGTCCCAGTGAGCCTGACCTCAGGAGCTACAGGTGTTGGCAGCCCTAGAAGATGGGCTGGGCACCAAGTTCAGGAACAGGAGCCAACTGTTCTATAACAGGAACTTTTCCCTGAAGTTCCCCTGGGAGTACTGTCTTGCAAACACCCAGAGATCTTTTGCTAAGTGCCTCATAGACTTTGACTTACTGACTTTGAAATTACTGACCTTGAAATTCATGATTGCTTTTCTGCTCGATCACACTGTCCTCCCTTTATTCCACAAACCTGTATGAGCACCCCCTGCCACCACCACCCATGGGTTGGACCCTATTCCAGCCCTGGGACACAGTGGGGACAAGTGGACAAAGGTCTCACTCTTGAGGAGCTTACCTTCGAGTGGGGAGATGGAGTGTAGACACAGATGAAATGTGTCCATTGGTAAAAAGCACTATGAAAAGGAATAAACCAGGACAGAAAATTAAAGTGGAATGCTGGTCAGGGAAGCTCTTTCCAGCTAGGTGACATTTGGGCAGAGACCTTAGGGACATGAGAGTGGGAGGTCAGAGGACATGGGGAAGAACATTCTGGACAGGGGGTTTGGGGCAAAATGAGCCATCGAGGGAGGTCTCACCATTCTCATGGTTTTAAAGGAGGAAGCTGCCAAAATCATGTGTCATTGAACATTTGGTTTATTCCTACTGATTTGCCTTTTCAGTGGCAGTGCAGCTACATACTAGGGAATTGGCCATATCACGTTTCCCTCTCTTCCTTAAAATAGGTATGAAAATATCAGGTAAGACAGCTCCTAGTGACAGAAGAGGATCCTTCATAAATTTACCTTCAGCTACTGTGGTTGGATCTGCCAGACACGATCCCTAGAGAGTGAAAGAGGACCCGTTGGAAAGTGCTTCTGTTTTAGAAATAAAATGGCTCAGAATTAAATGATTCTTTTATAGGCATATAGTTGTGAGTTAAACTCCACAATTTGTATGTATGAATACTAACATTAAGAATAAATACCATCAGAAGTAAGATGGAAGAAATATATAAAAACATTACTTAGTGTCTCGTTACAATGAACTGTTTTTAGTTTCTTTTTAATGTCTATTATTTGTTTCTTTCCTAGCTGGGTTTTGTGGCTACTTAGAATTCACCATTGTTGGGCTGGAAGCTTTCTAGGGGTGCTTGTGGGTTCCCAGCACCCACTAAGCTGCTTTGGGACCCAGAAGCTGGGCGCTCCTGACCAAAGCGCCTCCAGCTCTCAACTCGGAGAGGAGAGCTGGGAATCTCCTGCCATCAGCTTTGATTACCTACCCAGGAAGTGTGGAGTATTGCACAGGGCCAGACAGTAAGAAAAGGGAAGAGCTAGAATTTCATCCTAAGCCCATCTGACCTCTGAGCCCAAATTCTTAACCACCATGCTCTGGTGGTTTGCAGACTCAAAGTGTGGTCCTGGGACCAGGGGCATCAGCATCCCCAGAGTCTAATCAGAGCTTGCATTTTAACCAGATCCCCAAGGGACACGTGCACTCTACAGCCTGAGATGCACTGACCTAGTGGTTCTCTTTCCACATAGGCCTCAGTTTCCCTAGCTCTGTGACAACTGTAACCTATCCCTGCCCTGGTTTTGTATTTCAGAACATGGACTCTGAAAGTAGATTTTTGGGGTTCAGATTCTAGTCTGCCATTTGGGGTTCAGATTCTAGCTGTGTGGCTCTAGGCAGGTAACTTAACCACTTAATGCCTCAGTTTTCTCATCTATAAAATGAGGATAAAAATAGTACCTATGCCATGGGTTTGTGAACCTCGAAAATCTGAGACAGGTCTCAGTTAATTAATTATTTTTTTTTTAATTTTTATTTATTTATTTTTTTGAGAATGAGTCTCACTCTGTCACCCAGGCTGGAGTGCAGTGGTGCGATCTCGGCTCACTGCAACCTCTGCCTCCCAGATTCAAGCGATTCTTGTGCCTCCGCCTCCCGAATAGCTGGGATTACAGGTGCGCGCTGCCACGCCCTGCTAATTTTTTTGTATTTTTAGTAGAGAAGGGGTTTCACCATGTTGGCCAGGCTGGTCTCGAACTCCTGATCTCACGTGATCCACCTGTCTTGACCTCCCAAAGTGTTGGGATTACAGGTGTGAGCCACCGTGACCGGCCAGTCTCAGTTAATTTAGAAAGTTTATTTTGCCAGGCTGAGGACGTGCCCGTGACACAGCCTCAGGAGGTCCTGACGACATGTGCCCAAGGTGGTTGAGGCATGGTTTGGTTTTATACATTTTAGGGAGACATGAGACATCAATCAATATATGTAAGATATACACTGGTTCAGTCCAGAAAGGTGGGACAACTTGAGGCGAAGGCGGAACGACTCAAAGTGGAGAGGGGGCTTCCAGGCCATAGGTAGATAAAAGAGAAAGGGTTGCATTTTTTAGAGTTTCTGATTAGCCTCTTCAAATGAGGCAGTCAGTTATACATTTATCTCAGTGAGCAGAGAGGGGACTTCGAATAGAATGGGAGGCAGGTTGGCCCTAAGCAGTTCCCAGCTTGACTTTTCCCTTTAGCTTAGTGATTTGGGGGCCCCAAGATTTATTTTCCTTTCACAGGTTGTTGTAAGGATTACAAAAGTTGGTGCTTGTGAAGTATTTTAGAGCTGTGCCTGGCTCACAAGGAATAAGGCACCTACTGTCTTTTTCACTGCTATGAACCCTACCCCGTGTCTTCTTGTACCTCTCTTCTGGGAAGCCTTCCCCAACTATCGGAGCTCAAGATAATTTCTCTCTTTTTCGATTCTTTGGCAAATGATCTGGGATTTCCATCGTCAAACTGTAACTTAGGGAAAATCTGTTATTGTATTGATAAGGAAACTTAAGTCTCAAAGGTCAGATGACAGAATTGGTCCTGGAACTCAAAGGTCAAATGACAGAAGCAGGACTTAAACACCAGTACTCTTTAAACTCTAAAATTAGGGCTGTTTCCAATGTGCTACATTTGTAGTATTATATTCCTTCCTATTTCCCACCTATTTTTAAAGTAGGTAATAAATGTCTTGAAAAAAGCATAATAAAAATATTCATCACAATGATTTTATTTATTTATTTATTGAGACGAAATCTCTTTCTGTTGCCCAGGCT